>NC_000002.12:189004769-189307799 GCF_000001405.40 Homo sapiens | reverse complement strand
AAGAATCAATATTTTCATCTTTAAAGCAAAATTAGGAATGCTTTTGTTCTCAAGATATCAAGATATTGACACTCCCAAATCTGGGTTCGTTTAGTAAACATTATCAATCTGTTCCCTTAACTGTAAGCATCTAGAGGCTAAGAATACCTGACTTTCTGAGAATGCAGTTCAGCAAGCCCCATCCTCATTTTCCTAGCCCTCACTCAAAATGGAGTCGCTCTGGTTCGATGGCCTCTGACAAATCCACTGAGATATTGTTTGTTATAGCACCTGGCATTATTAATCCTGATTGACACACATTTAAAAATGTGCAGTGGTAGGACTCTATTGTCTAATTTTTGTTTTGTATACTGAATTTCCTCTTTCTGCTTATTAATTTTTAATTTTTATTACCTCCTTATAATGTGCTATTCATGTATGCTTTTTCAAAATTTTCTAAGTATTATATGTATAATTTATATATAGGTAGAATATTAATTGATAGCAAGTAAGCTAAAAATCTCACCATATTTCGATTTTGTTTAAAGAAATGTAACCAGAGTACACAATTGCTTCATAATCATTACTGTCCCAACATTAAAATTTAAGTGTAAAGGGAAGAAAAATAAATACTAAATGAATTAAAATAATTTCTGTAAAAGGAATTCAGATGTGTTATATATGTGGAATCTCTTTTTCACCTTTGAAGACTGAATTCATATTAGCATGTTTTAATGTTTTAAGAAATATATCAATGAACTTTTTTCCAGTAATTTGTATTTTCTTTAAGGCAGACAAAGACATACAAAATAGGCATATTAGAAATTTACTTATTGGGTCACATTATATTTTGAGGAAATGGGTGGATAATGTTGGTTAATGAAGGAGGAGGGTTATGTATAATTACATTTTACACTTAGAATGTTTAACGCACTGTTCATTCAATCCCTCAAACACTCATCACACCAATAATACAAAGAAATAAACTTTAACCAAGAGCAAGTGATAAACTCTTGTACTTTGAACTCTTGTAACTTACAAAGAAAGAAAGCGGAATTATTCTAGAGATCTGTAAGGCTGTCAAATAGTCCCTGTGAAAAGCAATGTCAAGTAATGGCATTCTTATTTTAGAAAGAATGACAGCTGAATTAAGCATGGTGACTTGTTGGGTAATAAAAACAAGCTAACATTAATAGAATCTGTGTCACTTCCCATTGTCAAGACAGGTCCTCATTGAGGAAGCTATGCACCAGAATTCCCTCATTAATGAGCACACCAGTTTGTTTATTGTTAGAAATGTGAAAATGGTTCTGACAGCATTCCTAAAAATGCACATGATGAAGATGCATTTATTATAGGTCCTGTTATGTGGAATCAGATTCTGAGATGGAGTTTGGAGTACAGGTTAATGATTAGGGATCAACACCTGTGGAAAGAATTGGGAGAAAATAGGATTTAATAGACAGATAAGCTAATATGTGATGCAGACCCAACAAAGTTTCAATCAACTCCATGGGGAGTGCTCTGGAGCATGTTAGGTAGGAAAGATGTGCTCAAGTCCCTCAGTGGGTGATTAAGGACGATGGTATGGTGAGTGGGCCCACCCTTGCTTCCCTCCCTGATTCCTGGAACCCTTCAATCTTTCTATTGGAAACATACAAATGTACATAGCACATAGTGCATGGCACAATACTAGTACAAAGTTCTTTGATTTAATGTCTGTATTGTATGTTGGAGGATGGCACCCCATTCTCAGAGAACATTGCTTCTGAGCTAAGCTGGTGCTTCGATTCAATAGTCCTTCAAGAGAAAATTGAAATGGCCTCCAGCAGGCTATTGGACTCACTTCCACACTTTTCTCCTGTAAAGTGAATCCACTATTCTGAGAAATCCCATGCTGGTGGATCAAACATGTCCTAATAGAAAGAGGTGCTGACTGATGCCCTGAAGGGAGGTTGAACAAATCTAAATCCAGCATATATGTCTAGTTTTTTTTTTTTTTTTTTAGATTGAATATCTCTCTCTTCCAGGATGGAAGATATTCAGTGTAATCAACTTGTCGCCAATTAGCCTGTTGATCTCTTCAAGGAATAGTGCTGTATAAGAGTTTCAGTGTAGGTTTCTCCTACTGGCAGATTGGACATTTGGTGGCATAAGTAGGCAAAGCAGCTATCTGAGTTCATTTGTGCTGCTATAACAAAATACCAAAGACTGGGTATTTACAAACAATAGAAATTTATTTGTAACAGTTCTGGAGGCTAGGAAGTTCTAGATCAATGTGCTGTCAGGTTTGGTATCTGGTGAGGGTTTACTCAATGCTTCCAAGGTAATGACTCATTATTACATCCTCACATGGTGAAAGGCAGAAGGGCCAAAGGGCCGAATATATTGTGAAGTCTCTTTTATAAGGGCTTTAATCTTATCCATGAAGGAGAAGCCCTCATGAAATAATCATCTGCTAAAGGCCTCACCAGTTAATACTCCTGCATTGGCGATTAAGTTTCAACATAAATTTTGGAGGGAACACAAACATTCAAATCATAGCAGCAGGCTCGTAAATGCGAAGCTCTGCTGTTGGGCCCACGCATTTCCTACCAGAACTACTTTATTCACATGCCACTACTGGGATGGTAGATTTGTGAGGCTGCTGATACCAAGTGGATAGCAATTATTTTATTTCTGGCAGCAATGTGAAATATTCCATCTTTTAAATTTTGTTTTGGAGTCTAATGTTAAAAATTGCTGTTAGCTTTTGTTAGTATTTTCCTGATCTTTTTCTTTCCATTTTGTTTGTTTCAAACTTCAAATATATTTGTTTTCTTTTTTATGAGCCTCATAAGCAGTCATTTCTCAGTCCTTATTTGACTTGACTTACTCATATTATTTATAAAATTTGATTGCATTATTAATAGAATTTGATCACTTTCTCAGTGAAAAACTTTGTACTTAGCACATAGTGCATGGCATAATATACTTTTCACTGAGAAGAAAGTGATTAAATTTTATTTACTTCATTACTTAACCAGAAGCTTGGAGGCACCTCCTATTACATATAGAAAAATATAAGAATGACTGGTGATATAGTTTGGCTATTTGTCCCTGCCCAATTCTCATGTTGAAATGCAATCCTCAGTGTTGAAGTTAGGGCCTAGTGGAAGGTATTTGAGTCATGGGGGTGATCCCTCATGTGTTGGTGCTGTCCTTGTGACAGTGAGTGAGTTCTCATGAGATCTGATTGTTTTAAAGTGTGGCACCTTCCCCCACCTCTGGCTTCCGCTCCTGCCATGTGATGTGCCTGCTCTCTCTTCACCTTTGTAAGCTTCCTGACTCTCTGTCACCCAGGAGCAAATGCGGGCAATATGCTTCCTGTACAGGCTGAACAACCACAAGCCAATTAAACCTCTTTTCTTTATAAATTATCTGGACTCAGGTATTTCTTTATAGCAATGCAAGAACAGACTAATACAACTATTATCTGTATCACTATTACTAATGAATATTGTGCTGCTAATCTTAGCTAAAGTGACAAGGTAAAAAAATGAGAGTTATGAATATTGGAAAAATGGAAATAAAGCCCTTGTTATTTTTGGTAAAATGATTATTTACTTATGAAATCCAAGACAACTGATTGTATAATAATTAGAACTTGTAAAACAGTTGAACAATGTGACTATTTTATATAACAGCAAACTTAATTAGAAAGGCAATGGGAAAAAAACTCATAGTTATACATACATACAGGCCTTAAAATATAGCAAAATTTTGAGATACAGAAAAAGACCTTCACAGAACATAAAATGTAAGACCATATTGCTAGCATCTTTAGTTGCAGAGACCTAATCTACTCTAGCTTGTGATAAAAGAAAAACGTCAGCCAAATTAAATGTAAAGGAGTTTTATTGAGCAAAGAACGATTCATGACTCGGGCAGCCCCCAGAATCACAGCAGATTCACAGAGACTCTCGGGGTGCCTCGTGGTCAGAACAGATTTGTGGACAAAAAAGGTAAAGTGGCATACAAGAATTGGAAGTGAGGTACAGAAACAGTGACATTGGTTACAGCTCCGCGTTTGCCTTATTTGAACACAGTTTGAACATTCAGCAGTCTATGAGTGGTTGAAGTGTGCTGCTGGGATTGGCCAACACTCAGCTATTGTTACAAGTGCATACTATTAAGTTAGGCTTTGAATTTTGTCTGACTATTAAGCTAGGTTACAGTTCATCTACAAGGACTCAAATGTAGAAGTACAGAGTCCTTCTCAGGCCATATTTAGTTTGCTTTAACACTTATTTAAGCAGGAGAGGATTTAGTATGGAATATTAGTCATGTTCCCAGCTCTTTAGGTGGTTTGACAGGACCAACTCCAGGGTGAATACCCAGGAACAGTTTTGGGGGGCCTATAGAGGTGGCAGTGACTGGCAAATTTATTGAAAAGAGAATATGAATGGAAACATGCACCTGAAAGCAAGTCTTGAACAGTGTTATAGTTTACAAAGGGCTTTTATATAAAAGAAATGAATGTAAGAGAAATACAGTAGTTCTCCCTTATTTGGGAGGAATGTCTAGGATTTCCATGCATGCGTGAAACTGTGGATAGTACTGAACTGGAAACCAATTGTTGTCAGTTGGTTTCTGTTTATGTCTTCCACCCACAAATTTAATGTCCTTTCCATCTCAACTAAGCACTTATCATGCACTGTGGCTGTAACTTCTGCAGTTTGAGGGGCAACAGTGAAACTAGTGCAAATTTCTTTTTCCTTCTTCGGAATTTCATGGATAGAAAATTTCTTATTAATGTAGATCTTGGCAATCTCAGCACACCATTTTTTTGTTTTCATATTGAGTTGAGAACTTTCATCTCTTCACTTAAAGGAAGCACTTTATGGCTCCTTTTTGGCATATCCAAATTGAAAGCATCACTACTCTTGGGCTTTGGGGCCATTACGAAGTAAAGTAAGAGTTCCTTGAGCACAAACACTATGATACCACAGCAGCTGATCTGATAACCTAGCCAGCTACTAGGGGACTGACAGACCAGGAGTGTAGACAGTGTAGGTATGTCAGACAAAGGGATGAGTCAACGTTTGGGCTTGATGAAGCAGGACAGTTCAAGATTTCATCATGCTAGTCAGAACAGTGGGCAATTTAAAATGCATTTGTTCATTTCTGGAATTTTCCTTTCATTATTTTTGGACCTTGATTGATCACAGGTAACCGAAATTGTGAAAAGCAAAACCACACATAATGGGGATTTCTGTAATTCTAAGATATTATTTTTTGAAGTGCACTTTAGATCAGGGTTGTTGGGCAAGAATGACCTATAAGAAAATAGGAAGAGAGAGAGTGAGGTGGATGAGAGAGCCCTGCCACTTACCACCTGTTCAGGAAGTTATATATTCTGAGTATTTGTTGGAGTGAAATTGAGAGGGGTCTGTAGAGTACGGAGCTGGCTTCTTAAGCTCAGGCTTCTCATACTATAATGTTTTGCCATTATCCTAAAATGTTGCTAAGCAAACAGCCCCTTAACTTCAGAGAAGCTTTCGAGTTTTAAATGCTAGTGGACAATATTGGGAGATGTTTACATCTCAGAATTATGTGATTCATAGGAAAATCACTGGGAAATTTCAGTATTTACTACTTTGAACAGGCAAATTTGCCTAAAACACACTAATTTGGTTAATTGCAACTAGTGACAAAAATTAGAGTAGATTTTCAGTAAACTGTAAATTTAGGATATAGAGAAATGGGATCTTCATAATGAAATTATCAGATTAAGTGAGGAAATTCGTAGAAAAGTTTATTCAAATAAATAGTTATTCAATTTTTGGAGATATAGTATTATCCCCTTTAATTCTGGCTAAATCACTACGTATGTTCTGTGACGTCTGAAAAAAAATTTGTATTTGTGTTTTGATTTCTACTTTTCTATGATTTAGATACAGACTAGTGTTAGCACAAAATTCTTTCCTCAGGAAACTCTTTCTATATATATTTTTAGGTAATAATTAGTTTTCTAACAAAAGAAAGATACAACAATATGAATATTTTATGAATATGTCAAATAAATGTGGAGAATATTTTATTTTGTGGTTTCTTCTGCATTCAAGGCATTTTATCCTTTAGTTTGATAAATACATTGAATCTCTGGTGAAGTTCATCTTTTGAGTAACTCATGCCGTAAAACCAGATTGTGGAGCTGTTTACCATGTTATTACCTATTTTTCAGTGACAATCTTTAATAACATGATAGTCCATAAAATTTGGGCAAACAATCTCATATAGATTTGTAAATTTGGTGTAATTCACTGCACTGTGAGGAAAAAACAGCAAAAATGATAGATTTTTTAAAGAATACAAATAAACACATACAAATTTGGTAACTTCTAAGATAAAACTATAGAGATTCTTATTTCCCAAGTATTTAATGATTCTGATTTAGCAGATAATACATTATTTTACTTGGCTTTAAGTGGTTTAAGTGAATTGGGTAGGGTATCAGAAAGGTGTATTTGAAGCATATTGTTGTTCCAGTGTAATTAACAGTATTACATTTGTATTTACCTTTTATTTCCATGAACATTTAATGTGGCAGACATGGACTGAGGGAGATGCTGTCACAGATCATTTTTTTTTTGAGACAGGGTTTCACTCTGTCACCCAGGCTGGAGTGAAGTGGCATGATCATGGCTCACTGCAGCCTCTACTTCCTGGGTTCAAAGCAATCCCCCACCACAGCTTCCTGAGTAGCTGAAACTATAGATGTTTGCCACCATCACTGGCTAATTTTTGTATTTTTTGTAGAGACAGGGTTCCTCCATGTTGCCCAGTGTGGTCTTAAACTCCTGAATTCAAGGATTCCTCCTGCCCCAGCCTCCCAAAGGGCTGGAATTATAGGTGTGATCCACCATGCCCAGCCAGATCATCTTTCTTTAATTCTCACAAAAAATCCTTTGAGATGGTGAACACATGATCATTTTCCTTTAAGGAAAGTCTTTAGAGAGACTATCTGACTTCCACAAAGTCACATTTCTATTCTTTGGGGCAGCATTAGAATGAAAACTCCAACATGTCTGAACCATGGCCAATGCCTATTGCAGTATGGATGCCACTTTGCACATTTTGGGACCATCTAGGCCTACTGCTATTGCTACTTACTTCTCAGACACACCCAGTCTTCAGGGCTGTCCCGCCTCTGGCTGTAGCTCCTCAAGGACATGTCTATTTCTCCTCCCTCAGGAAGATTGTCATCTTATTCTTTGGGGTTTTTCCCCTTCCAAGACTTGACTGAAGAATGGGGATACAGTTTTAGCCTTCTTCCTTTCTTGCTGTCCTAAACACAAAGCTTCTTTGTTTCTCCACATTTGCTGCCATATACACACATTTTTTTATTTTTAAATACAGTGAAGAAAATATAGATGATAACAGAAAACGTGGATATAATAAAAACTTCCAATTTTACACAGTCTCTCTAGAAGAATAGTTTCTGGTGTAATTTCTGATTATCTTCTGAGAATGTGTAGAGTGGATTTAAAAAATACAGTCACAGAGAGAAAGATAGAAACATCCATAAAAATATGTCCACCCAACTTTTCTTGCAGGGAAAAAAGATAATTTGTAAAGAAAGTATAATATGCTGACTGGCAAGGAATTTGCATTTTCAGTCAGAAGACTGTAAGTGTTATTACTTGGTCATGAGAATCTTGACCCTGCTTGGCTCAGGTATCTGTGTATAACAGTCCCTAAAGGGGTTCTCTAACCTGGAGATTGATGCATACTATGGAATGATTTGCTGAACAGGCTATTCTTTCTTTTCTTTCATGAGAACTGCCGCCAGTATATGCTTACTTATGATGAATTTTAAAGGCCATAGAGGGCATCCTTACACAAGTCTCTAGTTCCACTTTGCACAATAGGTTAGTTCTTAATAATTCTGGGTGTTGCTATTTTTTTTAAGATGTCATGGGGTCTCATCTACATTAAGAAAGAACTTCTTGATTTAGGGTCATTTTTTATTAAGTTTTTGCTTAAATCCAGTACTTAAATGCAATATGCAAGCACCATGACTTGCTTTGGAATTGAAACAAAACAGATCGATTGTTCTCCTCCAACACTGAAATATGGATGCTGTGAACTTCATTAAACATCAGCCCAGGAACAGCATAAAAAGGGCAATGCAATTTAATCTTCATCTTTCCCATAACTTCTTGGTATCTTCAAGTAATATTTGACAGACACCCATCATATTTCATGTCCTAAAATGACTATATTGTACCATTAGGGAGTATACTCTTAAAATATTAAAATATGTTTGCCCCACGAATTATAGGCAGAATGTTGATATCAGATCTCAGCAGTTCTTCTTCTTTGCAGGTTAGTTAGCATTTGAGCCACGTATCGAGGTGGGCTCATGGGTCTGGGGTTCAGATATTTCCTAAACCTGATGATATGTCTATATGACAACAAAAAAGATGATCTTAATAAATGATAGCGTTAACGCAATCAGGACCTCTTTAAATTAATGCAGTTTTCAAATTACTTCTGTTTTTTTTAAAGTCAATGGAATTGTATATCTGAATATGCATATTGAAACCTAATGGTTTAAAAACTTTAGCTTAAAGCCAGCAAAATAGTAAATATACTTCTTGCATAGTAGTCTGGAAAATTCAATTATTAGTTGTATGCAAATAACTGTGGGTTTAATACAATATTTATTTTCCTGACTGCTTTTAGAAAAACAAAGCAAAATACAACTTTAGAAAATAGTAGACAAAAGCTGTGGGATAGCATTAAAAATGTTAAATTTTGCTTTTGTATCAGGATATTCAGTGGGACTCAATGTTCAATGTTTAGGGTCAAAGCTGAAAAGTCTGAGGTATTAAGTACCCATAATTTACACTTCCTTCAGAGTTAGTAGTAAGTGATGGAACTAACCCTTCTGTATTATGATCTTTCACTTATATGAAATGAATAGGTTAGAGAGATGGAAAGTGTCATACATGCAGTGATTGTGTTAGATATATCCCTTACTCCTCCTTAGGGGAGAAATGGAGATTCTTTTCTTTCTAAAGCCAAACTGGGAGAAGGAGGGGCTCTAAGAGAGTCACTCATAAAGAATGGAGGTTCCTACCAGAAGGAGAAACTGGCTGGGATTTTGTTTCCTGTTTGAATGTCTGCTTAGCCAGTGTGCTAATCTATCTCTTGGTCTATTTCAATGAATGAGAATACAATAAGAGATTGTTGGCAGAATGGAGACAGACTGCACTCCCACCATCTGGTGTAGCAAAGATGAAGTCAGGCATATATCATAGAAGGTAAGCAGACTTCGGCCACCCTACTTAGCTTCTTGCTGGTCAGGGGGACCCCAGCAGGAAGAGGCAGTAGATGTATAGCCATGGGAGGGAGATGGAATTGGAGAATGAGGTTGACCTGGAGCTTAAGGTACTTCAGCAGAGAATTATGTTATAAGGGAACTCTTCAAGGCTTTTCTATTAACTCATACAACCGTCACAAGAGAGTCAGGATTTGGATGGCTTCCATGCATAAGGCATCAATGTCCAGCCAGAGAAGCAGAGAAATCTGTCACAGAGAGGGTTATAATAGCAGCCAGTCAAACAAAAAGGCACTTGTTTCTCTCCCTCTCCATTTTCCCTACCCTCAACCCATTAAAGGAGCTAGGCTTTGAAGAGAAAGAGTGATGAAGGGAGATAATAATACATACATACAGGCTGTCTCTGTTTCCTGTCCCATCACTACCTCTAGCAGTCAAATTCTGTCCTCATATTTAGGGCCAAGAAAGTTTAGATTGAGTTTGAGATTGCAACTTTACATTGGACTGGATTTTAATAACCAAAAGTTACTAGAAAGTTATGGAATCTATCAAATATAACATTAAGGAATGAGAAAAATATTTGACAAAGTATTATTAAAAACAGTGGTTGAAAAAATAAATGATATTATGTTTGAATTCCAACTCTTTGAATTCACAGTGGTATTCATTTTTGAGAAAATGTCTTTCATTGGTTTGGCAGATAGAGTGGAGAAATAACATGGCATAAATGTGCATTGAGGGGCCACCTCTACTTCACTTCAGCTTCTGGAAAAAGTAAGAATTTCAAGACTGTAGGTATTTAGTTACAATCAAAGATGGGAAGGACATTTTTGTGGTTGTGGTTTTATGTGGGTTAGACTTCTATGTAAGAACATTTAAAAGAAAAGCTCACACAATATGAAAGCATCTGGATTTCTCTTCATCAAATAATAAGTAAGTTTCAGTTATATGAGTACAAAGGTGAATCACTATGTATCAATTTTTAAATTAAAAAAATTAATTTTTTGAGTACATAGTAGGTATATATATTTATGGGATACATGAGATATTTTGGTACTAGCATGTCATGCATAATAACATATGAAGTGCCTCACATTCAAAGAGACAAAACATACACAAAAATCATCCTCATTTTAGAGTTTTAAAAAATGCCCTAAAATAATGACAAATTTAATGTAGCCATAAGACTGCATTGACTATAATGTAATAAAATTAGAAATAAATAGTGAAAAGATATTTCAGAGGTGCAGTCTGGTTTCCAGTAGTGGTGCAGTAGCTTGTATTGAATTAATTATCCTATTGATAATAATTACAAACTGCATACTTTTAAAAATCTTTGAAGTTACTGGAAATCAATCAAAAGCAGATAAAACTGGAGGAGAATTGTTTCTTCAAAGATGAGCACCACCATGGTTGAGATCAACGTTTATATGGCTTTTCCACTGGGAGCATTTTCAAGACATGGCACAGAGTATATAGAATTTTATCAGAAAGTCAGTTTTACTAGTCTGAAGAGGCAGAGGATGGGGGCTCCCAGATTGGCTAGAAATTGGTGGCAGAATCCAATAACTGGAAGCCAAAGAGGGAAATCATTAAAATCTATACAAATTCCCTACTCTCGTCAACTATTTTGCTTACTTTTCAACTGCACATATGCAGAAGTCTTACTGTATAGTGCAACAAGAAAACAACAGCTGAAGGTTTGAAAAGGATGAGCTGATATTTTGAGAGGGACAGAGTTTGGAGTTCCAGTCTTATCAGATTATAGAATCTTGGTAAATACTTCAGGATTTTCACTGAAACCCAAGAAGGACTATACTTTAAAAAATAACTATATCCCAGGAATAAGGGATTTACATTTGGACTAAGGCAAAACCTTTCTACTCATAATTTAATTGCTTGCTGAAACAAAACTAACACTCTTCAGAGGAAGGTAATACAATGAAAGACCTCTACCATTTATAATCAGTAATAGCTGGTTACAATCTAGAATAACTGGACAAATGAAGAAACAGCAAATGTGATCTATTGTTAAGAGAAAAATTGGTCACTAGAAACAGACCTACAGACATAGATGTTAGTAGAATAAGCAGAGTGACTTTAAAATGACCAGCAGGATAACTACATAAAAGAATAAATTTAAAAGATGGGCATAATGTGTGAAGAGATACGGAATTTGAGAATTTGGAAACTGTAAAAAAACAAACAAAAAACCAACAGAAGTCCTAGAATAAAAAAAATATAGTATTAAAACTTAAAAATTTTTTTCAGATGGCCTTAACAGTAGATTGGAAGCAGCAGCAAAATTTTTGGCTAAACTTGAGAAACACCTACATTGAAGCATAAAGACAAAAAAAGAACTGAGCCTTAGTGCTTGTGGAGCATTTTCAAGCAGCCTAGAATAGATGTAATTAGAGGCTCAGAAGAGAAGAGAATGAGGCTGAAAATGTATGTTTTCTATTTTTTTAAGTTTGATTAAAAAACTTCAGAAACCTGTAAATCCTGGAAGCTCAAAAAATCCCAAGAAGAATAAATACAAAAAAACCACATCTGTGAGCATCAAACTGTTGAATAAAAAAGATGATGAAAATGTTCTGTCTTTGATTGATGTGGGATTTCACAGGAACATATGTTTGTCAAAATTTATAAAACAGTACATTTTCATCTATCAATTTTACTCTTTGTAGATCTCAATTTTAAAAAAGGAGGCTCACGGAATTTAAGTTTAACTCACCCAAGTTTATACTGCTAGAAACGGTGGAACCAGAATTTGTATCCATGTTGTCTATGTGCTGTATACATCCGCGTGGCTAAATCAATTTTGTCAAACTAAGTTAAATAATTTTTTTTCTTCAGGACCTCTGGGAATCTTTTTTTTGAGACTGAGTCTCATTCGGTCACCCAGGCTGGAGTGCAGTGGTGTGATCTCAGCTCACTGCAACTTCTGCCTCCCGGGTTCAAGTGATTCTCCTGCCTCAGCCTCCCAAGTAGCTGAGATTACAGGCACGTGCCACCACAGCTGGCTAATTTATGTATTTTTGGTATTATTTGTATTTTTAGTTTCGCCATGTTGGCCAGGCTGGTCTCGAACTCCTGACCTCAAGTGATCCACCCCCCAACCTTGGCCTCCCAAAGTGCTGGGATTACAGGCTTGAGCCACAGTCCCCAGCCAGGGAATCTTTAGTATGTTAATTTGGACTCAGAATCTTTAAAAGGATAAACAGAATCATTTCTCAAGCTTAATTTGCCACTATGTCCTTTGCATGGAACATTTTGAGGGAATAATATTTAATATTCAGAGGAACATGCTTTCAAACATGCCCTCTTGGTAATAAAACTTTCTAGGAATCTTTTCTATTCTAGAAAGAATAAAAGAAAGTGTGTAGCTGGGTGTGGTGGCTCACACCTGTAATTCCATGACTTTGGGAGGTGGAGGCAAGAGGATTGCTTGAGCCCAGGAGTTCAAAACCAGTCTGGGCAATAAAGCGAGACCCTGTCTCTACAGAAAAATTAAAAATAATTAGCTAGGCATGGTGGTATGTACCTGTAGCCCAGCTACTCAGGAGGCTGAGGTGGGAGGATCAGAGGATTACTTAAGCCCAGGAGATTGAGGCTGCAGTGAGCCATGACTGTGTCACTGCACTCCAGCCTCTGAGACAGAGCAAGACTCTGTGCCAAAAAACAAAACAAAAAAGAGTGTGTAATTTGTTAATTGAGGCCAAAAATGTGGAAGACATATTTTTATTCATAGATATTTAAGGGTATCTTTGTAGAAATGAAAACATAATTGCAATATAGCTTTAGCTCTTCTCTTGGCAAACATTTAAAGTGCCCAGTACATAATGAAAATATATTGGCTATTGCTTTGAAATTTTCAAATGAGTTTTTATGAGTATGTTCTACTTAAAAAATGAATTCCATTTTAGAAAGTGATTATGTTAAGAATATTTGATTGCACTGACAAATGTGATAAATTCCAAGAATAACAGGTTATTAGGAATATAATAAAGTCTCTGAAATAACTAAAAAGGGGTATCAGATTTTTCCTCCTCTAATCGACTCTAATCAAATGTTAGAGTTGATTAAGGTAAATGTGATGTGACTGTTTCTGCCTCATTATATAGTACATATATTTTCACAGGGCCAGCTGACACAGGCTATATAAATACAGTTTTCAAAACTGGAGGAAGAAAATATTAAATAGCTTTCATTTTATTTTATGTTCCCTTAACAGCAGACCTGGAAACAAGGTTGATAGTGCAAGTTTGAATGCCGATTCCAGGAAACACTTGTAAGGGAGTGAGACACTGAAGGGAAGGAAAGCAATAGTGTGCTATCAGCCCGTTCAGGCTGCTTTAATAGACTACCATAACCTGGGTTGCTTTTTTTTTTTTTTTTTTTTCTTGAGACGGAGTCTCGCTCTGTCGCCCAGGCTGGAGTGCAGTGTCATGATCTCAGCTCACTGCAAGCTCCGCTTCCCAGGTTCACGCCATTCTCCTGCTTCAGCCTCACCAGTAGCTGGGACTACAGGCGCCCGCCACCATGCCCGGCTAATTTTTTGTATTTTGTTTAGTAGAGATGGGGTTTCACCGTGTTAGCCAGGATGGTTTCGATCTCCTGACCTTGTGATGTGCCCGCCTTGGCCTCCCAAAGTGCTGGGATTACAGGCATGAGCCACCGCTCCTGGCCCTCTGGGTTGCTTTTAATCAATAGAAATTTAGTTTTCACGGTTCCAAAGGCTGGGAAGTCTAAGAAAAGGCACCAGTAAATTCAGTGTCTGGTGAGGACTGGCTTATGGGTTCATGGACAACTGTCTTTTTGCCTGTCCTCATGTGGCTGAAGAGGATAGCTAGCTCTCTGGGGTCTCTTTTATAAAAGTACTAATCCTTATCATGAGGGCTTCGCCTTCACGACTTAATTCCCTCTTAAAGGTTCCACCTCCTAATCCTAACCTTGTGGGTTAGGATTTCAACACAATTCTGGGGAGACGCAGACAGTCAGATAATAGTGTATTATTAAACCAGTTACCACTTGTTCTATCCTACTGGAAAATTCTGGGGGATACAGTAGAATACTTCAGACTTATCCTAGCTGAGGGAAAAGTTAACTGGGATGTTTATGTACCAACTCCCATTAGTCACCGGTTGAGAATTGCTCCCATGGGAGTATTAATTCTCAAGCATTTCTGGTCTGACTTCTGCACAGTGCACGCAGGCTCTTTTTTTTTCTTTTATTATTATTATACTTTAAGTTTTAGGGTACATGTGCACAATGTGCAGGTTAGTTACATATGTATACATGTGCCATGCTGGTGTGCTGCACCCATTAACTCGTCATTTAGTGTTAGGTATATCTCCTAATGCTATCCCTCCCCACTCCCCCCACCCCACAACAGTCCCCAGAGTGTGATGTTCCCCTTCCTGTGTCCATGTGTTCTCATTGTTCAATTCCCACCTTTGAGTGAGAATATGCGGTGTTTGGTTTTTTGTTCTTGCGGTAGTTTACTGAGAATGATGATTTCTAGTTTCATCCATGTCCCTACAAAGGACATGAACTCATCATTTTTTATGGCTGCATAGTATTCCATGGTGTATATGTGCCACATTTTCTTAATCCAGTCTATCATTGCTGGACATTTGGGTTGGTTCCAAGTCTTTGCTATTGTGAATAGTGCCACAATAAACATATGTGTGCATGTGTCTTTATAGCAGCATGATTTATATTCCTTTGGGTATATACCCAGTAATAGGATGGCTGGGTCAAATGGTATTTCTAGTTCTAGATCCCTGAGGAATCGCCACACTGACTTCCACAATGGTTCAGCTAGTTTACAGTCCCACCAACAGTGTCAAAGTGTTCCTATTTCTCCACATCCTCTCCAGCACCTGTTGTTTCCTGACTTTTTAATGATTGCCATTCTATCTGGTGTGAGATGGCATCTCATTGTGGTTTTGATTTGCATTTCTCTGATGGCCAGTGATGGTGAGCATTTTTTCATGTGTTTTTTGGCTGCATAAATGTCTTCTTTTGAGAAGTGTCTGTTCATGTCCTTTGCCCCCTTTTTGATGGGGTTGTTCTTTTTGCAGGCTCTAACCAGTAAAGCCCTCAACTTTTGGAAGCAGCAGAATGGCCAATGTCAAGGTGTAAGGGTGAGATATCTTCCTTATAGTTTCAGTTTAGCTCTTAGATAATTTCTTACCTAAAATAGATGTTAATCATGAGCCAATTTTCCTAAGTAGATTTTTTTCTCACTTCAAAAGTAAATTATCAATTAATAAGCTGCGGTCTTCCATACAATATATGTGGCTTCATCTACCCATGGTATATATTGACAATGATATCAAATTAGTTTACCCAGTTCCCAAGAATCAGATCACTTAGTGGAGTTTCTTGGGTTGGAGTAGACTACTGTTTTTCTCTCTAGGAAAATGCAAAATTCCATTTCATAAAGGTTGGAGCTATCCATTGCTTAAAGTGATTTCCTTCTGGGGTGTTAATTATGATCACATAATAAAATGAGTGCATGGATTCCTTGGAATTAGACTCTCTATTTTTATAACATAGAGAAAATCCAAAAATATCCATATAGGTTTCTATAGAAGATACATCAAAGATGCTAAATTAATACATTTTCAGTATAATCCTAGAAATGGAACAAACCAGTATAGAATAGAGCAAGTTTTTTTTTTAAACCAAAGAGCTTAATTTTCCACAGGAAAAAATAGCAGAAAAATTTTCAGTAGTATAAAATGAGAAAAAATTTTACCCAGATATAAAAATTCAAGCTGTGATGACGAGAAATGATCTTGCCTATATAGTGAGTCATAATTTCCAAATGTGGTTTATAACCACCATGTTGTATGGTATGTCTGAAGTACTTCTGCCATGAAAGTAACACCTACTCTGAAAGAATTTATCCATGATAAAATTTATGTAAAAAAATTTAACCTAATGTCCTAATAAAGTTGTGGGGAAAGATGCCAGGAATGAAATAATCAATTTCAACTATAAGGGAGTAAAACCAAAAAAATGAAAATGAGTCTCACAATTTTATGAATTTGTCATTTTATTCTTATGAAATTGTAGGAATTAGTGAATGGTGAAATAATGTGTAGCAAAATGGTTTTCTGTTTCTTGCCAGGATATAGTTAAGATTATAGAGCTAATAATGCTGATTCAGAAACCGGCAGCGAAACTTTAACCTTTCAGCCTTCTCTATTGAGTGGATATAAAGATATCTATTAGGATACTTGCATCTATTTAAATCTCTTAAGTGAGAAGACTAACTATACCCAAAGTGCATAAAATCAAAATGTTTATTGAGATTTATGGAATCAATCTATGGGAGTTAGATAAAAGTCACTATGACTTTCCTTAAAAGACAGTTCTTAAATGTATTAGTTAAATATTCTTAAATTTTAATTGGATGTGTCTTTGAGATAATGTTATAACTTCTTGACATAAAGAAGACCAGTATAGAAAACTCTGAAACATTTTAAATTTACTAATATATGCCTGTCTCCAAGAATGAGGCCCAGTATTTTAGAACCTACAATGAAGACATTCTTTCAGAATTTTTAAATTTCTGATAGCCTTCTTAATTCATCAAGGTCTCCTTTCTTACAAGCAGAGATATTTTCCCTTGTCTTGAGATATTGTACCATTCACATATTTGTTATGTCTAACATACCTCCTTCTAAAATGTATTTGAGGTTTCCTTTCCCTGTATATAATAATGTGTGTGTGTGTGTGTGTGTGTGTGTGTGTGTGTGTGTATTAACAAAAATCCTCCAATATTTCTATCTTACTTCTCCCTTCAGTAAATCCTCCATCAGGTAAACTTGAAAAAGTTGTGTACATGTGTTATCTCTCTTTTTCATGGCAAATTCACCCCTTGATTCACTCTAATCTGGTTATTTTGCTAACAATTCTACCTCAAATAACTCTTGCTCTATTTATCTCTAAGTCACAAAACCCAATGTATAATTTACGTCTTCAACGTATTTGACTACTCAGCAGCATTCTACATTACTGGGCATTCTCCATCTCAGCAAATGCTCCTTTGGCTGCCATGACACTACACTCTTGGTTTCCTTTCAGAAAATTCCTTTTCAGACTTCTTTGTCAAATTATTCATTGCTGGATTTTAAATGTTGTACAGTCATATGTTGCTTAAGGATGGAGACATTTTCTAAGAAATACATTTTTAGGTGATTTTGTCGTTGTTCAAACATCATAGCGTGTGCTTACACAAACCTAGATGTTCTCATTGTGTGTTCTTGGCACCTTTGTTGAAAATCAATTGACTATAAGTGCATGGATTTATTTCTGGAATCTCTATTCTGTTCCTTTGGTTTATGTGGCTGTGTTTATGCCAGTACCATGCTGTTTTGATTAGTATAGCTTTGTAGTATATTTTGAAGTCAGGTAGTGTGATGCCTCCAATTTCATTCTTTTTGCTCAAGATTGCTTTGGCTTTTCGAGGTCTTTTGTGCTTCCTTATGAATTTTAGGATTTCTAGAAATGTCTTTGAAAAATGTCATTGAACTTTTGATAGGGATTGCGTTGAATCTGTAGATCACTTTGGGTAGCATGGACATTGTAATTCTTACAATCCATGAACACAAAATATTTCTGTTCAGGTCTTTCACCTCCTTGGTTAAGTTTATTTCTAAGTATTTTATTACTTTGGTAGCTAATATAAATGAGGCTGGATTGATTGAATAAAATCAATCAGAAATACTAGGTTTACAAACCTAGGTGTTCGGAAATACTACTAATATGTTTATGTTTATTTTGTATTTTGCAACTTTACTGAATTTGTTTATTCTAGCAGCTTTCTCCGTGGAGTCTAGATTTTTAAAAAATATATAAGATCATGTTTTCTGCAAACAGGAATGATTTAACTTCTCTCTTTCCAATTTGAATGGCTTTATCATTTTTTTCTTGACTAATGCTCTTGCTAGAACTTTTAGTACTATGTTGAATAGAAATGGTAAGAGTGGGCATCCTTGTCGTGTTCCTGATCTTGGAGAAAAAGCTTTCATCTTTTCACAATTGAGTATGATGTTAGAAGTGAGCCTGTCATATATGATTTTTACTGTCCTGAGGTACATTTCTTTTCTTTTCTTTTTTTCTTTTTTCTTTTTTTTTAGATAGAGTCTTGATCGGGTGCCCAGGCTGGAGTGCAGTGGCACAATCTTTGCTCACTGCAACCTCCGCCTCCCAGGTTCAGGCGATTCTCTGCCTCAGCCTCCTGAGTAGCTGGGATTACAGGTGTACGCCACCACGCCCAGCTAATTTTTGTATTTTTAGTAGAGACAGGGTTTCACCATGTTGGCCAGGCTGGTTTCGAACTCCTGACCTCAGGTGATCTGCCCACCTCAGCCTCCCAAAGTGCTGGGATTACAGGTGTGAGCCACCGTGCCCAGCCATGTCGAGGTACATTTCTTTTATACCTAATTTGTTGAAACTTTCAGCGAAATGGATATTGAATTTTGTCAAATGCTTTTTCTGCAGCAATTGAGATGAACATATGATTTTAGTCATTCATTATGTTAATGTGGCGTATCACATTTATTGATCTTCATTTTTTGAACATCCTTGGATCCCATAGATAAATTCCTGTTGGTCACGGTGAATGATCCCTTTAACATGCTGTGGAATGTGTTTGTTAGCATTTTGTTGAGGATTTTGAATTTTTACAGGGATACTGGCCTGTAATTTTCTTTTCTTTTAGTGTCTTTGTCTGGCTTTGGTATCAGGATAACGCTGGCCTCATAAATTGCATTTTGAAGTATTCTTTTTTGTCCAGTTTTTTTTAGAGAAATTGAGAAGGATAGGTATTTGTTCTTAAACGTTTGGTAAAAGCAGTGAAGCCACGAGGCTCTAGGCTTTTCTTTCATGGAAAACTTTTCATTACTGGTTTAATCTCTTTACTCATTATTCATCTGTTTGGATTTTCTGCTTCTTTATTATTCAGTCTTGGTAGGTTGTATGTGTCTAGGAATTTATTTCTTCTAGGCTATACAGTTTGTTGATGTATGATTATTCATAGTCATCACATTACTGACTGCCTGATACTGCTTGTAGTGCTTTTTAAAGCTATACAATCATAGTTAAGAAAATACATCATTCTTTACTTTCAAGGACTTAACAAGTCAAATGAGGTCAACACAAGTAGATAGAAAAAACCCCTAATACCTTTATAATGTGCAGGAGAAAGACAAAGACTAGACTTGTTTGCAATAACTTTAGTTAACATATGCATGGTTATAAACTTGTTATAACATGCTGAAATCAGGATCTAGGAAAGCAGAGAGAAGCCCAAACGTCTTTTTTTTCTGGCTTTGACTCATGTATTCAGATACTTACTGTGGGACCTCTTTTCATTCCATAAACAGCAGGTGGCATACTTTCTTTTCTGATCTTTTTTTTAGTGTAGCTGTTCTTGTCATCTGTTGAATTCTCCAGTGCTGTTGCTCTTTGTTTTTTGCTTGTATGTAATACACAACTCTGGAAGTCCTTGAATAGTTTGGGCACATAAAGGGTGAAATATAACCATAAGTTTTTGAAATGTGTGAGACATTAAGAGATAAATATTACATTTAACATTCAGATAGATAAAACCAAAGTGGATTTTCTGCTTAATTTAAAAAACTAGATGTCTAAAATAAAGTAACAAAAAGAAGTCAGGATTTTATATCTTTTCTAGGCAGACTAGTAGAATATAACATTTTTAGATTATCTTAAGGAGAGTAATTGCAATGATTTTTGCAGCTGGTTTTATATGTGTATTGCTCTAAATCTTGTAATTTAACATGGTTTGTTAGTAAGTAGTCACTGCATAATCCTTTATACTACTACTAATTTTAGTACCTCATCATATATTTCCTTGTTCCATGGGTACAAGTCTTATCTCACCATCAGGAGTAGCCTCTTAAAGGAAGTGATAGACATCTTTTGAGATGACTGGGATTATAGTGGGAGCTCATCAAATATTTGTTGAACTGAATAGAGAAGGGGCTTTTTCACTCATACATCATTCATCTTTCCCCAACCTCCCCACCTTCCAAGTCGCTGATCCTGTGTCCATTGTGCTTGTGCCACTTCCATGCCCATATCTCAGTGGTCAGTAACAAAATTGGAAAGCAAATAACATTTTTTATTCTGTCATTCATTAGGCTTTTTGTAAAAAAATTTTTGTAAAAAAATTTTATACCTTTAATGATAACTACCATTGATTATGTGCCAAGTACTTCACAGATGCTATTTTACTTCAGTCAAAAATAACTCTCAATTTGGTACTATTTTTTTTTTAATTTTTATATGGAACTCTGAGATTTTAAGCTACTATGTGACAGAACCAATATTTGTTCTGTGTTCTTAACTACTGCATTCCATGGCTTCTCAGGGATGCAACTGATACTTCTTAAATTTGGGCAGGTTGTCTCAAAAGTATAAACCATATCTTTCCCAGGAGATAGGTAATAGATACTATGATATTACTCTAAATTAACATCCACAAAGTAGATGTTCATTCTTAAGTTTTTTTTGCTTCTGACATTTTGCTTCTGATTTTTGAAAGAATAATAGGTAAAAATTTCTTCCTACAAAGGAACTTATGAATCTAAAATTATTTCCTATGTTAGAATATTTTTCTCTGCTGTTAAAAATAGACATTCTAAGATTTTAAAATCACAGACAAAACTAATTCCATATTGTATTTATGAATTGGGAAGTAAATTAAAATAATTTAAAAACTACATTTTGCTCATTTAGAAGAATTCTTTTAAGGATTTAATTCACTTTTGAAATAGTGCCATAAAGTCTCTTAAAACCATTGAAGACTGTAAGTCTCTTCTGTGCTGTGGCATGTCTTCCACTTATGCCTGTATCTCACTACTCTTAAGATAGGCCTTTTCTGTCTGTACTCAAGTCTGACCACCTCCCGTTTTTCCCTCCGAGTACCTCCCATGGAAATTCTTGAAAAATAAAGCAATACTTCAACCCACACTTTAATGAGTGGACTGGAATCCCCATCCCTTTAGCTATCTTAGTAGTGACTCATAGAATTGTCTAGCCCTTGCTTTCCTAACATTTTCCATTCACTGTAAGTTATTTCTTCATCTTCTTTTGGTGCTCAAAAGTGCTTTTCATGTGTGCCAGCTGAAAAACTAGAAAAAAATATCTATAGTTTCAAATTTGAGTGTGCTATTTGAACTTTTTAATACAGCCCTAGTGATCTGGTGTTTGGCAAAAGTACCACCTGAAAATGGACAGTTAGGATGCAACTAAAAGCCACTTGACTATAATTTCTTAAATGTGATGCCAAACTGTGCAATCTGACCTGCCTATGTCAATTTAGTACTCTCTTGTCTTCAGTCTTTTTTTTTTTTCAACCACGTATGAGCTTTTCTAGAGGTACCCTTAGGCCACCCAGAGAATCCAGGCACTTAATTTCAAAGTATAATTAGATAATAGCTGCTTGGTGGAATAAGGTAGTGTCAGAGACATTTGTCAAATGTGATATTATGATATTGATCCAAAATGTGCTTATTGGGAAAACTTGAGGAGATAAGCATACTAAATGATTTGTGCAACCACAAGTACTCATGCCTCATCTGTCCACTCATTTGCTTCATGGTTATAATTAATAAGAGATAAAAATGCAAAAATGTCATAGAATACAGAGAAATTAATATCTAAAGCACATTTTAGTTTATCAAAGGCATCTCTTCAGGGATACATTATCTTTAAAAACTTGCCTTTTACTTTAAACGACCACTTTTATCAGTCAGAAATTATGCCTTTGATATTGTTCCTGATCAGAAGCAGAGCTGCTAGTGGGAAAATATCAAGTTAGATGACCTGGGATCTTGCTTGTTCTGCCGTGGTAGCTGTGGTATGTGACCTTCTGGAAATCAGCTATTTCATCTCAACTTCAGTTTTCTCTTTCTATAAAATAAACATTTCTTGCCTTGCTCATCTTATGAGATTTTTGTGAGCACCCAATGAAATAATACAGATGGGAAATTGCACTGTAGATGTAGGTTATTATTAGTCAGAATTCAGGGGGCCTTTTCAGATTGTCTTAACTTTCTCTGGAGGTGCAGGTCCTGGAATTAGGAGCAATGTTTAGGTATTGGTGGGTTCAGGGCTTTAACAGGTAAAATAGAGTTGTGATTTGTCGAGCCTTGGGGAAAGTTTTGAAATGTGGTCTGGCATTAGGGGAACAGTGCCAACTTTTGTCACAGTGGTCTGTCTCAGAAGAAGATGCTCACATTCAGGGGCAGGAACAAGCAGAGGGGTTCATACTGCCTTGCTCTGTGTTTTTATCTTTCTTCCTTCATAAAGAATATAGCCTCAAGAGAACTCTTTTCTAGACACACACACACACACACACACACACACACACACACCATGTGCATGCTCACAAAGTAGTACACTGAAGGCTGACTCAGGGGTGTCCATATGGATGTCATAGAGGAAGGGAATTCATAAAATAAACAATAACAACAAGAATTACCCCATATCAAGTAATAAAACACCCCAGCAAAGTACTTGTTATCCAAGCATACCTTATACAGTCATGTGCCACATAACAAGGCATGAACAGTAGTCAACAATGGACTGCATGAACAACAGTGGTCAGAGCAATGGGCTATACCCTACAGCCTGTGCGTGTAGTAGGCTATACTATCTACGTTTGTATAAGTACACTGTATGTTTTCACAGTATCAAAATCACCTACATGTGCATTTCTAAGAAAATATCCTTGTTGTTAAGCAACATATACTCTATATTAGTCAATTAGTCAATACTTGGTGATATGGTTTGTCTCTGTGTCCCCACCCATATCTCATGTTGAATTGTAATCCCCCCATGTATTGTAGGAGGGGCCTGGTGGGAAGTGATTGAATCATGGGGGCGGACTTCCCCCTTGCTGTTCTTGTGATGGAGTTCTCATGAGATCTGGTTGTTTAAAAGGGTGTAGCATTTCCCCCTTCTCTCTGTCTCTCTTGCTCTGCCGTAGTAAGATGTGTTTGCTTCCCCTTCACCTTCCACCATGATTGTAAGTTTCCTGAGGCCTCCCAGCCATGCTTCCTATATAGCCTGAGGAACTGTGAATCAATTATACCTCTTTTCTTCTTAAATTTCTCAGTCTTAGGTAGTTCTTGATCGCAGTTTGAGAATGGACTAATATACTTGAGTTTGCAAGAACTGGATATATTTGGATGCCATATTAAACATAAAAGTGGTCATTGATTAGGAATATTTGATAATTAAAATTAGAATTAAAACACTTTTGTTTTCCAACTAATTGTTACCTATTTTGCTTTGAAAAAACTATAAATATCAATATATGACATAAGCATATCATATATATGATATAAGCAATGTATGATATGAGCATATAAATATCAATAAATATCAGTATGCTTATTCATGACCTGAATTGTTTCTTGCCAACTATTCTAAGAAACTTGATTCTGATTCTGACTAGTTAGGCTAAGCAGCATTATTTTTTCTAACATGTAATTTTAGTACATATTTCCAGATTAATGGTGAATGTGGTTCAGATTAGAGACCAACTCTGGATTCATGTGGTATTTTTTGAAGTTGGTAGAGTGAATTTTAGGCTCATATTTTAAAAATAAACTTCTAATTTTAGAATTATTCAATTTAATTTATGGAAGATTTGTAAAGATAGTAGTTTCCATATATCCCACACCTAATTTCCTCTATATTTAATGTCTTTTATTGACATGGCACATTTGTCACAATTAATGAACCAGTATTGATGTTTTATTATTAAGTAAGTTCATACTTGATTCAAATTTCCTTAGTTTTTTCCTAAAATCCCCCTTTTTTTTTGTTTCAAGATCTCATCTGAGATACCACATTACATGTAGTCATCAGATTTTCTTAGGTTCCTTTTGACTGTGACATTCTCAGATTTTCCCTGTTTTTGATGATCTTTATAGTTTTGAGAAGTACTAGTCAGATGTCCTGTAGAATTGTTCAATTAGTATTTGTTTTATTTTTGTCTCATGATTAGACTGGGGTTATGAGTTCTTGGGAGGAAGACCACAGAGATTGAGTTAAGCTCACTTTTTGCTCTTTCAAAAAAATTGCATAGGGTAACGTTTTCTCTTTTCTTTAAATTTTATCTTTTCTCCTTTGCTGCCTTTGTTGTCCTTTCCTTCCCTGGTTCCTTTTCTCTTTATCTTCTCTCCTTCTTCCCTTTTTTCTCCCCCTCTTCTTTCCTTCTTTCCTTCTTTCCTCCCTTTCTTCCTCTTTCCTTCCTCTTTATTTTCAAACAAGTCAACAGCATTTACTAATTCAGTACTATATTTCCCCACATGAAGACTCCATAGCTCTTTATCCCTTCATATTTAACTAAAAATACTTACCTATTTTGTTGCCACAGGAGGAAATTTATTTATATATTTGTTAAATTGAGTAGACAGTGATTGAATGTTGCTTATATTCCTAACTCGGGGTATAATAGTAGTCTTTTATATTCTTGAAGTTGATTTTAACAGAAAATATGATACATGTTATTTTTAGCACCTATAGTAAATATTTTGAATTTATCCTAGAATTTAAGTATTTCTAGAGTGTTAAAGATCATGAGGCACAAAAGCTCTATTGAACCTAGCAATTTAGTTTGATCCCACCCACTTGTTCTAATCTCTTGTGCTCAATATTCTACTCACAGATCAAAATCAATGACCTAGAAAAGATGAACCCAGGCATCAATGTAGACAGACAGTATAAAACAAGAATGGAAGGCTAAAATGGTATGCTAAAATGAATACATTTCATTTACATATACTAAAGATGAACACAGACTAATTTTGTATGTTGTCATATGAAATTTCTTAGTGTTAGTGTGTCCTCTGTTAGCCTCTCTGCCTAATAAATTTCTTTACTCTGATCAGTTTTATTATTTCAGTATTACAAGTGCAACATTTGGGAGCAAGTGACTGCATCAGAGAAGCTGGAAGATACAGGAATGAAATTAATGGTGCTTATTTCCAACGTTTCTACTTGTTTTATACTATCATGCTTCTTTTGAAATGTTTAGCAGCATTTTACCTTTGCACTAACATTCCAGTCACTGGGAAACAATTTGAATATTTTAAATACATGATAATATGCTATATATTTCTAGAGCTGAATAAAATGCTAGCATAGAGGCATAGAAATTATGTAATCAAATTTTATTTAATCTTTCTTTGTTATATTTTTATGCTTTGATTATTAATAATGGATATATATATATATTTATTTATATACTTGAGATGGAGTCTTGCTCTTTTGCCCAGGCTGGAGTACAGTGGCGTGATCTTGGTTCACTGCCACCTCTGCCTCCAGGGTTCTAACAATTCTGCCTGCCTCAGCCTCCGGAGTGGCTGGGATTACAGGTGCCCACCACTACGCCTGGCTAATTTTTGTATTTTTTGGTAGAGACGGGGTTTTGCCATGTTAGCCAGGCTTGTCTTGAACTCCTGACCTCAGGTGATCCACCCTTCTCGGCCTCCCGAAGTGCTGGGATTACAGGCATGAGCCAGTGCGCCCAGCCTATAATGGGAATATTAATGTGTTTCGTAGTGTAGGGTTCCAGTGCCTGCCTCTGATGTGTAAAGAATTTACTCTTGTTAATGGCCCTTATGTACTTATTAGTTTCTTACTTATTGATGCTATCAGAGGAATATAAGTCTGAAAGATCAGGGACTTTGTTTTGTACATTGCTATATCTCCTTAGAGTAGTCCTGCTTGTAGTACACAGTAAATATTTGTTAAATGAATTAATTTTTAAAGACAGTTGAACTTACTGCTTTTAGAGATGTTATTACTGGCAATCATTCTGATCATAGAGAGTAGTTATTAATCAAAATATTTCTTTGCCTCATGAATCAAACATGAAGATGAGTTGGTGACAACTGCCATATTATTCTTCTTTTGTCACTATTTGGAGAGTCTGACTTTTTGAGATACTGTCTGTTAAATATCCAGTAAACTCAAAGTCTATTACTCATATAAGCAGCTCCATTCATTGCAATTTTACACTAGGCAGGCCACACAGCCATGGTTCTCTCCTAATTATTCATAACCATGTGGCATTTTTGGGTCAGTGGTTTGATGCATTAAGTCCAAGTTCTTTAAACTCTTACTGCTTATGATGAACTGTTTTGACATTCAATCTAATTTCTGTTTAGACATCTTGCCTAATTCCACCATTTACTAGTTATATTGCAGGGAGCATTGCACTTGATTTAGTTACATTTTAGGTTTTCATTTGTAAAATGGAAATAATAATAAAAAATCCATTCTGACAATCTCATAGAATTTTTTAAAGATTAAGAGATATAATGAATATTCAAATTTATGGTAAATAATGCAAATTAACCACACAACGTGCAAATATATTGTTAAAAATTCACTTTTATGCATTACATAAGAAAAATAATGTATTAGATTGGTGCAAAAGTTATTGTGGTTTTTGCTGTTACTTTCAGTGGCAAAAACTACAATAACTTTTGCACTGACCTAATATTTATTGAATAGTATTAGAATTACTGGTTAACCATAAACTATAATCCTGTGCTTTCTTAAGTGGAAGAGTTCAGGTGAGTCCAAAGTAAAATAGTTGCTTCTTCTCCATTGAGAATTGTATTCTTGCTGGGAAATTGTTTGCTTGGGTCTTATCCCTAAGATGTGTAGAAGTTATTAAGGCTATGAACCTCAGTTGATCTATTTGACTTATTCAATATAAGAAATATTTCACAGTATTTTCCCAAATGTAAAATGTATATACCTTGTCCTGGAAAATACAGAATTGATTGATACAACATTGGAGATACTCATTTTGGGGCTATAATGAATTAGAAAATTCTCTGAAACAAGCCATACTCTAGGTCTCCTGCTTTGTTCTTTTATGATTTATCACTAAAGACCTGTATAATACAAATTCTTATTGTATATTCCTTCATATTTTGCAAAATGTAAGAAATAAGACAAAAAATGGATTTAGAGAGTTTGCACAGTAATTTCAAGCATAGTAGGAAGTAGAAGCACCTATACCTACAAGAGTGAGCTTGACAGGGTATTTATAGTATAGCAAAATAAATGCTGCAAAATGTTTAAATGAAATTATTAAATTATTGTAGGAAAGCACACGGATCATGAAAGTTCAGGGAAAAGAAAATCTGTGCTGGAACGATAAGCTTAAATTAAAATAACTAATTTAAACTTTCTGTCTTAGTTCATTTAGGCTTCCATAATAAGATAATAAGATAAACAAAATAAGATAAACTGAGTGACTTATACGCACCAAAAATTCGTTTCTCACAATTCTGGAGGTTGGGAAGTACAAGAGCATGGAACCAAATTTGGTATCTGGTGAGGGTCTCCTTCTTGGTTCATAGACAGCTGTCTTCTCTCTGTAACTTTACATGCTTGAATGGATGAGAGAGCTCTCTTGGGTCTCTTCTATAAGGGCACTAATTTTATTCATGAGGGCTCCACCCTCATGACCTAATGACCTCCCAAAGGCCCCACCTCTAAATACCACCACACTGGGGATTAGATGTCAACATTTGAATTTTGAGGGGGCACAGATATTCAGTTTATAGTAGTTTTCATTTGAATAAACTTTTGCATCAAATCTATTTATAAATAATTTCAAGTTTTCTCTTGCCCAGTAGTATATCTTCCTAACTGTCTTGTTCTTGTAAATTATTTTAGACATTGCATCCTGTTACACTTGCAATGACAAAAGTTCAATTCAGCAATTTTTGTAGACTTTAAAAAATAAACTATCTTATAATACTCTAGCTATAAAAATAATACATCTTTAACTTTTAAATTTTGTTTTGATTTACTTTTTAAAAATTAGGTTTGATATCTGGTCTGAAAGTGTTTGTGGCTTGTCTGATTTTTTTTTTTTTTTTTACAAAAATGCTATCTTCCCTGTAAAGATTTTGGCCAACATTGTGTATATATCTATATCAATATCTATAACTATCTATGCAACTTTTGTATATACCACCCAATTGAAAATGATTGTTTTTCTATTAATATGACATAGGTTTCTTTTCTAAAATATCCGTCATTTAAATATCTGTCATTTAGATTTCTCTTTGCTATCATCTAGAAGTCTGTGTTTCTTTTTTTTACTCTCACTTTATAAGCTTAATTATTGCCATTCCTTTTATCTTGAATACTTATCTTTCTTCAGTATATATTCCTTCCCTTTTCTTTATCAAGTTCTTGCCATAGTAGGGTATGCTAGTTCGTCTTATTCTTTCTTTCTTTCCTTCTCATCTTTCTTCTGTTCTTTTAAACTAGAATTTTTAAAATATAAAATTAAAATAGAGTTGGAAAACAAAGGTAGTGCATTTAATTTAAGGATATTCGTATTTCTTGATGTTATTTTCTTGAATAACACATTATAGAGGAAGAGCAAATTAAACAGATAATAGTAATTTAAAACAAGTATAATAGGTATTTTCAGAGATCTAAAGAAATGTAACCAAAATGTAGGGCAAAAATAAACTCTTATGAAGAAGGACCAATTAGAGATGATAGTTATGAAAACATGACTGCTAAAATAATAAATCAAAAAATAGATACAACTAAAGAAGTAATGAGCTAAAATATTAGGTCAGTGAACTCTCCTAGAAGGCATTAGAATAAAGTAATAGAATGATGAGAAAATAGTTCAGTGATATGGAGAACAAAAGAAGTATCAGTATCTAAGAGCAGTCCTAGAGAGAGAAAAAAGAAAAGAAGAAATAAAAATATTTCAAGAAGTAATTACATGGGATTTTCAAAAACCAAAGAAAAATGAAAGAATTCAGGTTGAAAGCTCGGAGTGTGCCAAACAGGATATAAGAAAAATCTAATGTTAGACTCTTTATAATGGATTTTAAGAGTAAAGGCAAAGAAAAAATTCTAAAAACTATTTGAAAACATGGTTTATGACTTATGATGTTTAATTTTCTGTTTCTTCCAAGAAGTATGCTTTGCAGATTGCTGATATACAATACGTTTTCTTGACTGACTGACTGAATGTTCTCCTTAATTATTAACCAGGCAAGAAGGTAATGCCATTCACTATCCTCCATCAAAATTTCCTGTATAAAAACCAATAAGATGAAAATATCTACCGTAATTGAGAAATACTTAATTAATTTTCCAGAAATTAAGCAAGTTTTAATTCTCCAATGAGGGTGAAATATTTTTTCCTGAAACTAGCTACTGCCCAATGTCTGACCAGATGTAGAATATCTGGTTCAGCTTATCGAGAGAAGGAATATAAGAAAAACACTATCAGATTGTGATTTAGAAGAAATGTGGTAGAAAATATTCCCTAAAGTTGTTTTGTAGCGACTTAGCAGTGCATCTCCAAGGTTTCTGTGGTTTCTTGTTCTTGCCTGAACTTTCAGTGTCAGCTGCTGGCATTCTGGGAGTGGGACTATTTATTTTCCTAGAAAAAAACCTTTTATACTTAATAGTAAAGGTAACATTTCTGGGGGCACTATTGACCTCCTTGTTCCCACCCAGGAAAAATAGATTTCAATTTTTCCTGAAGGGAAAAGAAAGTCCCTGACTCCAAACCCAAATGCATATACTGCCAAAGGGGACTTGCAGATCATCACTGTTTTGCCCAGTGTATTTTGTCAAGTAATACATAGAGGCATTGACAATTGGCTATTCTTTTAGAATAGTTTTAGTGAGTCTGTGATGAAGACATTGGATCTATGAGTATCTGTATCTGATGACAATATGGAACAATATACTTTGATTTTATTTAAAAATATATTGTGTGTCCGTAGAATCCTGGTATACTTTGTGGCTAGCAGGGCTTTTCTTGTTTCTAAAACCTAGTGTCTTCCCAAACTATAACCTGAAAAGACTCCTGCATCCCCTGATTCTTAAGTCTAGGAAAAATGGCTAGATATGCCTTTGTAATGTCTGTGATGTTTGGCTCTTAAGGGGTATAGAGAGCGGCAACAATTTATGGTGATTGACCCGAACTCGCAGGTAATAATTAACCCAGCCTTTGCGTTTTCAACCTGTTATTTTATGAAACAAGCCATACTTGTTTTTGCTTACTTGATTTACCTTAATTTTCTGATGAGCTTCCATGAATCTTGGGGTCATGTTAAGAACATTTTGATTGGCTTACATTTGTATATAGTCCTTAGATAATTAAAAGACCTATGGTCAGAGGGCTTCTTGTTTTCGATTTTGGGTAAACAATATTAATGCTATTAATAATTAGTGATTTTATTCATCACTTAGTATAGTTTGGTCCCCAAATTATGTATTTTATATATTGCCTAGTTTCATTTCTACATATAGTTTTTATTATCTTCATCGCACAAATGAGAAAATAGAGTTGGAGTGGCAAAATAATGTCCCCAAAGTTTTATAGTTGATGCATGGCATAGCTGAGATTCAAATGCAGATGTGTTTTACTCCAAATATCAATTTAGGCTACAGTGATGAGCATTCATAAAATATACCTTTTCTAAATTAGCAAAATAAGAAAACTAAATGCTAATAAATTAAGATCTTATTTTTTAGACAGAATTTATGGCAATTGAGCAGGAAGTTTAAGTAATATATCCAAGAGAAATGAGATGAGAACTCAAAAATTTAGAAAACTACCAGAAGGTATGAAATAATACATCATTGCAAAAGAGAAAATAAATCTAAGGTTTTAAAAATATATTAAATCTAAGTTCTGATGCTATTTTCCAGAAACAATATAGAAATATTCCAACTTGTTTAAATATATTTTTTATAAGGTAGATTTCTAAAATGCTAGAGCCTTAAGTGAGTCAAACTTATGTAATGTGACTCATAACTGAGCAATTCCTATGGAAAATTTAAATGTGGCAATCGGACAATAATTTTATGCAATATGGTCAGCATGTACTTGAAAACTCCAGCACGTATTTAGCAGTCTTTTGGAAATCTGATGTCATTCATAAAACCAGAAAAAACTTCCCAGATTTTTCTATGCCCTTAACCTCACAGGACACAATTTACTGTAAGTGAGCAACAGGGTCTAAGACATCTCAGCAGACATGTAATCCAGTAAGTATTATGACATTAAATAGCATGTGGTGGTTATTACACATAGTGAATAAAAGCCCTAACACAATCATCTTCAACTCTGTTCTCAGAGTACACACCGCCTAATTTGGAGAAAACAAATGTAGAACTTGGTTGATGAGATAAAAATTTGAAATCATAAGCATTCTGTGTAGTGTGTGTGAGACAGATTACTGCAATTTCCTAGCAGCTTTGTTGTGTAACTGATAGGAAGAAATATGTATCAATATTTTGCTTCTGGGACAGAAAGATAGTTATTAGTCTAAACCATATTAAATTGCTGATATTCAGCTAATTTTGACCTAAAAAGTGAAAATTTCATAATGTTAAACCTCATGCAAACAATCAATTGCTACATGATGTTGGGTTGTTATAAACAATTGAAAAGAATAGTGTTATTTGGAAAAAGCTTTCTGTATTTTTTTGTATTTTCAGTTAACAAATTAGTTGGGGGGTATTTAGAAAGGAAGGTTTAAAAATCAAAACAGAGTAAACTAATAGTAATCTGTAAGATTTGCCTCCAAATTATGGATAATAGCATTAATTCCAGAAGATTGGAATTTTAGAAGAAAGCATTCTCTTTTATTTGAAAAATAATGTAATTAGGACGGGTGCAGTGGCTCATGCCTGTAATCCCAGCACTTTGGGAGGCTGAGGCGGGCAGATCACGAGGTCAGGAGTTCAAGACCAGCCTGGCCAATATGGTGAAAGCCCGTCTCTACTAAAAATACAAAAATTAGCCAGGGTGGTGGCGCGTGCCTGTAATCCCAGCTGCTGGAGAGGCTGAGGCAGAAGAATCACTTGAACCCAGAAGGTGGAGGTTGCAGTGAGCTGAAATTGTGCCATTGCACTCCAGCCTGTGCAACAGAGCAAGACTCCATCTTAAAAAAAAAAAAAAGGAAAGAAAGAAAACTAACGTAATTAAAAAGATACTCCATGTTTCAATTTTTATATATACATTTACTATATAAATTATGATATTTTGAAAAAAGATGCCCAAATGGAAAATGAGAAAACTATGCCACAGAAATTTAGAAGGTAGCATTTTCCTTTTATGAGAATCATTTAATGCTAATAAAAATACTTTGCTAACATTTAAAATTAGGTAGTCTAAGAATTAAATATCATACAATATAATTAATAACTTCTATGCAAAAGTAGGCAAGGCATGTGATAGAAAGATAAGTAAATCGAAAAACTGTGTTTCTGTTAATCATCTCAGAGCTTCAGTAAGCTTCACTGATATATGGCTCATGCTTGATTTAATATAGCCAAAGGAACTAAAATCCTCGAAGAGCTTTTCCAGTTAAGGATCCTTTTTTCTAGAAATAATTAAGTCACCAAGCAGAGCAAAAAGTGGAATTTCATAAGTAAAGAAAAAGATTAAAGATAAAAATAATTAAACACAAACTAAAACAATAAAAATTGTGCTCATTCAACTATTGCCCACAGGTCTTGCATTGAAGAGTATCAATGCATTATATTTTATTTTTTATTACTGAGTAGGTTAACCATGAACACTAGAAATATTTGAAACAATAAATTGTAAAGCTAGAAAACAAAAGTATAAAGATAAAAATATATCATTATTCAATATTTGTTTTTTTTTGTCTTTGGCATGAAATGGTAATTCTCTTTTTGATACAATTTCCCACAGGGATGAATGAAAAAAAGTAACTTTCCTTAAGCACTTTATCAAGAAAATTATTTGCTTATGTAGTAGAAAAAAAGCCAAGTTAGCTATAATTCTCCAGTGTGTTCTGTAATTTGCTGACCATTTTGCTAGAGAAAGGTCTGTGTTTTTAGTGCAGAAGCTGAGGCTGGGCTGAATTGTTCATGTAACCAAGGGTGGGACAATTCAGGCTGTGAGGAGGATGCCAGAGGAAGGAAAGGAGCATTTGTAAGGCTGAACCCAAGGTTAGGAGAAGACAGAACTTGTGGACAAAACATACAGAGAACTATAAGTGAAATGCTATGTGTTGTGTGATGTGACCCCCTCAGACTTCGTAAATCTTCAGTAAAAATACCCAAAGTACAATATACTTGCTATAAATGGATTTTCTGTGGATGCTTGTGAAGGAGTTTAATTTTCTATCAGTGTCGTACCAGAGTTAGGCTGAGTAGATAAAAGGATACTGTATATCTGGGTTATACCTTATTTATCTTATTAGAATTTTACAACAATCTTAGGAAGTATCTATCATTATTTTAAAAAATATTTTTATTGACAAAATTATATATATTTGTGGTATATAAAATGATGTTTTGAAATATGTATACATTGTAGAACAGCTAAATCAAGCTATTTAACATATGCATTACCTCACATTCTTATCATTTTTTTTTTGTGGTAAGAATACTTAAAATTGCTGTCCGTGATTTTCAGGTATACAATACGTAGCTAATAACTGTAGTCACCATGTTATGCAATAGATCTCCCAAACTTACTCCTTCTCCCTAAGTCAAATTTTGTGTCCTTTCACCAACATCTTCCCAATTCCCCTGGCTCCCAAAATTCTGGTAATCATCATTCTACCCTCTGCTTCCATGACTTCAACTTTTTCATATTTCATATATAAGTAAGATCCCATGATATTTGTCTTTCTGTGCCTGACTTACTTAGTAAAATGTCCTCCAGGTTCATCTGTATTGTTGCAAATGACAGGATTCTCTTCTCTTTTTAGGGCTGAATGGTATTCCATTGTGTATATATACCATATTTTCTTTATCCATTCTTTCCCTTACTTGATGGACACTTAGGCTGATTCCATGTCTTGTCTATTGTGAATAATCCTGGAATGAACATGAGAGTGTAGATAGCTCATCAACATACTGATTTTATTTCCTTTGGCTGTATATTCAGTAGTGAGACTACTGGATCATATGGTAGTTCTATTTTTAATTTTTTGATGAACCTTCTTTTTTTAATAATAGCTGTATTAATTTACATTTTTACCAACAGTGTACCAGGGCTCCCTTTTCTCCACATCCCTGTTAACACTTTTTTTTTGTATTTTTGATAATACCTATTCTAATAGGTGTGAAGTGATAGCTCATTCCTCTTAAGTGCATTTGAGGAAAGTAATGCCCAGAAAAATCAAGTGGTAAGCTATGGAAAGCACATAGGCTGTCACATGATAGTAAGTGATAAATTTTGAGTCAGATCTCACACATTCAAAACTTTCTATCCTTTCTGCCATCATAATTCTTTCCATCATATAAATATGATTTTATCTGAGACTTCACATACAAAAGCATCATATATTGTTAGGGATCAGAAAATAACCAGTGTTTTGATCTATCTAGTTTGAAATCTGTCTTTCCTTAGAATACTATAAAGAAGAGCTATTTGTACCTTCTTCTTAGTTTGTGGATGGTAGAGGAGAACCACCCGGTCATTTCCTAAGACATTGTTGGCAAAGAGAAAGTTATAATCATTTCACAAAATTGGTGGTCATGCTGTACAAGGAGTAAAGGTTTTCTTCGTTTCTGAAATATCTGTGTTACTTATCCATGTCCACAAACTGGTGGAGAATAACACTCACCTCTCCTCAGAGCTTTCATGAATTTCATTGTCTGGTTTTGAGATCCAGAGCTAAAATCTAAAAAACTTGAGTATAATCACAGGAAATCCACTGCATGAGTAGTTGGAAATTGTTTCTAAATAGTTGGAAATTGAGATTTTTTTTAAAAAAATTATACTTTAAGTTCTGGGATACATGTGCAGAACATGCAGGTTTGTTACATACGTATACATGTGCCATGGTGGTTTGCTGCACTCATCAATTCATCATCTACATTAAGTATTTCTCCTAATGCTATCCCTCCCCTAGCCCTCCACCCCTCGACAGGCCCTGGTGTGTGATGTTCCCCTCCCTGTGTCCATGTGTTCTCATTGTTCAACTCCTACCTATGAGTAAGAACATGTGGTGTTTGGTTTTCTGTTCCTCTGTTATCTTGATGAGAATGATGGTTTCCAGCTTCATTCATGGCCCTGCAAAGGACATGAACTCATCCTTTTTTATGGCTGCATAGTATTCTTTGGTGTATATGTGCCACATTTTCCTTATCCAGTCTATCATTGATGGGTATTTGGGTTGGTTCTAAGTCTTTGCTATTGTGAACAGTGCTGCAATAAACATACGTGTGCATGTGTCTTTATCGTAGAATGATTTATAATCCTTTGGGTATATGCCCAGTAATGGGATTGCTGGGTCAAATGGTATTTCTGGTTCTAGATCCTTGAGGAATCGCCACACTGTCTTCCACAATGGTTGAACTAATTTACACTCCCACCAACAGTGTAAAAGCGTTCCTATATCTCCACAATCCTCTCCAGCATCTGTTGTTTTCTGACTTTTTAATGATCGCCATTCTAACTAACGTAAGATGGTATCTCATTGTGGTTTTGATTTGCGTTTCTCTAACGACCAGTGATGATGAGCTTTTTAAAATATGTTTGTTGGCCACATAAATGTCTTCTTTTGAGAAGTGTCTGTTCATATCCTTGGCCCACTTTTTGATGAGGTTGTTTGTTTTTTTCTTGTAAATTTGTTTAAGTTCCTTGTAGATTCTGGATATTAACCCTTTGTCAGATGGATAGACTGCAAAAATTTTCTCCTATTCTGTAGGTTGCCTGTTCACTCTGTTGATAGTTTCTTTTGTTATGCAGAAGCTCTGTAGTTTAATTAGATCCCATTTATCAACTTTGGCTTTTGTCGCCATTGCTTTTGGTGTTTTAGTCATGAAGTCTTTGCCCATGCCTATGTCCTGAATGGTATTGTCTAGGTTTTCTTCTGGGGTTTTTATGGTTTTAGGTCTTAACGTTTAAGTCTTTAATCTATCTTGAGTTAATTTTTGTATATGGTGTAAGGAAGGGGTCCAGTTTCAGTTTTCTGCATATGGCTAGCCAGTTTTCCCAACATCATTTATTAAATAGGGAATCCTTTCCCCATTGCTTGTTTTTATCAGGTTTGTCAAAGGTCAGATGGTTGTAGATGTGTGGCGTTATTTCTGAGGTCTCTGTTCTGTTCCATTGGTCTATATATCTGTGTTGGTACTAGTACCATTCTGTTTTGGTTACTGTAATCTTGTAGTACAGTTTGAAGTCAGGTAGCGTGATGGCTCCAGCTTTGTTCTTTTTGCTTGGGATTGTCTTGACGATACGGGCTGTTTTTTGGTTCCATATGAAATTTAAAGTAGTTTTTTTGTAATTCTGTGAAGAAAGTCCATGGTAGCTTGATGGGGATAGCACTGAATATATAAATTATTTTGGGCAGTATGGCCATTTTCACAATATTGATTCTTCCTATCCATGAGCATGGAATGTTTTTCCATTTGTTTGTGTCCTCTCTTATTTCCTTGAGCAGTGATTTGTAGTTCTCCTGGAAGACGTCCTTCACATCCCTCATAAGTTGTATTCCTAGGTATTTTATTCTCTTTGTAGCAATTGTGAATGAGAGTTCACTCATGATTTGGCTCTCTGTTTGTCGATTATTGGTGTATAGGAATGCTTGTGATTTTTTCACATTGATTTTGTATCCTGAGACTACTGAAGTTGCTTATCAGCTTAAGGAGATTTTGGACTGAGACAGTGGGGTTTTCTAAATATACAATCATGTCATCTGCAAACAGAGACAATTTGACATCCTCTCTTCCTATTTGAATACCCTTTATTTCTTTCTCTTGTCTGATTGCCTTGACCACATAACTGGAAGTAAAACACTCTTCAGCAAACGCAAAAGAATGGAAGTCGTAACAAACAGTCTGTCAGACCACAGTACAATCAAATTAGAACTCAGGATTAAGAAACTCACTCCAAACTGCACAACTACATGAAAACTGAACAACATGCTCCTGAATGACTACTGGGTAAATAACGAAATTAAGGCAGAAACGAATACGTTCTTTGAAACCGGTGAGAACAAAGACACAACGTACCAGAATCTCTGGGAAACATTTAAAGCAGTGTGTAGAAGGTAATTTATAGCCCACAAGAGAAAGCAGGAAAGATCTAAAATCGACACCCTAACATTACAATTAAAAGAACTAGAGAAGCAGGAGCAAACAAATTCAAAAGCTAGCAGAAGACAAGAAATAACTATGTTCAGAGCAGAACTGAAAGAGATCGAGATGCGAAAAACGCTTCAAAAAAATCAATGAATCCAGGAGCTGGTTTTTTGAAAAGATCAACAAAATAGATAGAATGCCAGCCAGACTAATAAAGAAGAAAAGGGAGAAGAATCAAAAGACACAATAAAAAATGATAAAGGGAATATCACCACTGATCCCACAGAAATACAAACTACCATCAGAGAATACTATAAACACCTCTATGCAAATAAACTAGAAAATCTAGAAGAAATGGATAAATTCCTGGACACATACACCCTCCTAAGTCTAAACCAGGAAGAAGTTGAATCCCTGAATAGACCAATAACAAGTTCTGAAGTTGAAGCAGTAATTAATGGCCTACTACAAAAAAGCCCAGGACCAGATGGATTCACAGCTGAATTCTACCAGAGGTACAAAGAGGAGCTGGTACCATTCCTTCTGAAACCATTCCAAACAGTAGAAAAAGAGGGAATCCTCCCTAACTCATTTTATGAGGCCAGCATCATCCTTATATTAAAACCTGGCAGAGACACAACAAAAAAAGAACATTTCAGGCCAACAGCCCTGATGAACATTGATGCGAAAATCCTCAATAAAATATTGGCAAACCAAATCCATCAACACATCAAAAAGCTTATCCACCACGATCAAGTCACTTCATTCCTGGGATCCAAGGCTAGTTCACCATACACTAATCAATAAACATAATGCATCACATAAATAGAACCAATGACAAAAACCACATGATTATCTCAATAGATGCAGAAAAGGCCTTCGATAAAATTCAACGCGCTTTCATCCTAAAAACTCTCAATAAACTAGAGATTGTTGGAATGTATCTCAAAATAATAAGAGTTATTTATGCAGACCCACAGCCAACATCATACTGAATAGGCAAAAGCTGGAAGCATTTCCTTTGAAAACCGCCACAAGACAACGATGCCCAATATAGTATTGGAAGTTCTGGGAAATTGAGATTTTTGAAGGAAGGTTTGGGACTATTCAGTCTGGAGAAGAAAATGTGAGGAATAATTTCTTAGCTATATTCAAGAATAGAATTAATTTTTTTCCATACAAGGGAAAATAACCCTCTGTTTTCTAATCACATAATGGAAAGAATTACGAGAAAGGCTTAAGATTTAGATTGGCTAAGATGAATTTCCTGGCATTGAAAATGGTTAAGTACTGGAATTGGTAATGGTAATGGACCAATTCTATGGAATCTCTCATTGCATTTCCTTAAGATAAGGCTCAGTTTTGGTTTCAGAGTATTACAAAGTTTTAGAGACACACGTGATCTTCTTATTTATTATCCTTATTTTTCAAAGTCTTTGAAAGGTTAAGCAACTGCTGAATAGCAAAGCTGGATCTAACACTCAAATCTGATTTATGTAAAATTGTCTTCTTGACCAAAAGATACACAACTTCTCCCTCTTTTCTAATATGTAGCTTTATGTAAGAGATATATTATTTTAATAAAGAGTTTAATTGTTACAAAATAGACACTAATAGTGGCATATTTTCTAAATATTGTTTGTTAAAAAGAGGTGATTTTTACCTTTTGGCCAAAAGATGAAGTGCTTTTTTGTGTATTGTTTATAGTTCATTCCCAGAAAAAGCATGTTGTCTTGTATATGTCTACTTAACAGTTAAGAAACTTCATTTATTTTTAACTATTCATTAGCAGCAAATCTGCAGTTGTTAAACATGGATTTTCTCTGAATGCCAATTCCAGTTGCTTCTTACTTCTCAGATGTAGGGTGTTTGTCTGAAAAATTGTTTCTGAGGGAAGAGTATGCTGAATAGAATTTTTTCTGATGACTAATATAAAAATAGCATGAGGTCTGGAAACAATTTAAACTTCTGCCACATATTCAGTTAGCCAGAGAAATGGTGCTGGAACTACTGACAATTTTAGGCAACAAAATGTTTTATCCAAAGAGAAGAGAATGTTATATCTTAAAAATGAAGTGATACCATTTGTTTCTTGTGGAAACAATGCCAATTTTCTTAGAACTCTTAGTTTGATGGTTGTAATTCTGACTAAACAAAGAGTTCATACTAATGAAGAACTTCCTTTTAAAATTTATTTCAAAAGTACTGTGACTCAAAGAGTATGGGAACAAATAAAACCAGAACTCTATCTGAATACTATTTACTGAATGTAAAAAGACAGTGGATAACATAATTTTTAATGCCACTTTGGGATAGGGAAACATATAAAGCCCACATATCTGGAGATGCATCTTTGTATTAAATAGTCAATAAAGATAATACAGAAGGAATCATAATGTATAAAAATATTTAATGAAAGGATAAATGGATTGATAAAAAAGCACTGGGCTATGCAACCAACAAGAATATATAATATATGCCAAGAATCTTTTGGTGGTGGGTTTGGTTGGCCTACTTGATTTATTTTCATAGTTGGCCAAATGACTTTTAGTAAACCATTTATGTTTGACCCTAAAAGCTTTTCTGTAAATATAAATATAATGTGAGACACACATTGCCCGCATTTACTCTGGACTTGGTAGGAGTCACCCTGCCTTTGTGAATCATGTCTCCAGGAGCATGTAAAAGTCCAGTCTCAGGCATCAACCCCACTGTGCTCCACATTCAGTATCCTCATTCCCCAATTTCCTGGCCTTCTTATTCTATTGCTTTTTAAAAATGATGGGTACGTTACATGAAAATAATTAGTTCTCTTTTATTCCTATATTTATTGCTCCTATTTTCTTCTTCTTAGGCAATTATTTAAAAAATGCATTTAGCATGTTCCTTTTCATTTGTATGTGTTTTTGCAAGATGAATGTTTTGTGATTGTATTTTTAATAAGCAAATATGTAGCGATGAACACCCAGGTTGCCTCCAACTTGCCAGTACTACATATTACACTATAATAAATATTTTTAGAGATTTTATGTAACAGTCTAAGAATTTTTGGAAAAATATACCTTCTAGGCTGGTCATAGATTATCTGTATACTTCATCTGACTCCTACCAAGGCAAGAGTATGGATGCAGGCAATGTGTGTCTTACATTATATTTATATTTACAGAAATGCTTTTAGGGTCAAAAATAAGTGGTTTACTAAAAGTCATTTGGCCAACTATGAAAATAACTCTATCAAATCAAATAGGCCAACCAAACCCACCACCATAAGATTCTTGGCATTGTATTATATATTCTTGTTGGTTTCATAGCCCAATGCTTTTTATCAATTCATTTATCATTTTATTAATATTATATGTATATTTGTTTTAATATAATATTTATTTTCATTAATATAACAAATATTTTTAGAGATTTTATGTTAACTGTCCAAGAATTTTTGCATATATGTACCTAGGAGTAGAATGACTGGTCATAGATTATCTATATATTTCATTTGACTACCTAGTGACAGAAAGTGCTTTTGAGCAGTATTTTAACATATCTTTTATAACATCTTTTGAGGTATAACTCATATACCATAAATTCACCTCTTTAAAGTGTATAATTCAGTATTTTTTCATATATTCACAGAGTTCAAGCATCCTAATATGTAATTTTAGAATATTTTCATCACCCCATCCCCAAAACACACCCTATTCCCATGAGCAGTCATTCCTTATTTTCCCCTCATTCCTGCCTCTAACAACCACTAATCTACTTTCTGTATCTAGATATTTGCCTATTTTGGACACTTCATAGATTTAGGATCATAAAATACATGGCCTTTTATGTCTTCAGGGTTCTTGCACTTAGCAGAAAGTTTTTAAGGGTCATCCATGTGGTTGCATGTATCTATATTTCATATCTTTTTTTTTTTTTGAGATGAAGTCTTGCTCTGTCATCCAGACTGGAGTGCAGCAGCACAATCTCGGCTCACTGTAACCTCCGCCTCCCAGGTTCAGGCAATTCTCCTGCCTCAGCCTCTTCAGTAGCTGGGATTACAGGTGCGTGCCACCATGCCCCGCTAATTTTTGTATTTTTAGTAGAGACAGGGGTTCACCATGTTGGTCAGGCTGGTCTCTAATTCCTGACCTCATGATCAGCCCATCTCTGCCTACCAAAGTGCTGGGATTACAGACATCAGCCACCACACCCAGCCTATTTTACATCTTTTTTATGGCTGAATAATATTCCCTTGCATGGATATACCACATGAATATTTATCCACTCATCAGTTGATGGACATTTGGCTTGTTTTCACCTTTTAGCTATTATTAATAATTGTGATATAAACTTTGGTGTACAAGCTTTTGTGTAAACGTATGTTTTCATTTATTTAAGAGTGGAATATTTGGGTCATATGGTCACTCTATGATTAACTATTTGGGGAAATGCCAAACTGTTTTTCAAAGTGGCTACAACATTTTACATTCCTTCTAGCAGTGTATGAGAGAGTTTCAGTTTCTTCACTTCCTCACCAATACCTGTTTTTGTTTGTTTTATGAGTCTAGCCACTTCTCTGAGTGTTAAGTGGTATTACATTGTGATTTTGATTTCCTGGTGGCTAATGATAATGAGCACTTTTTATACATTTATTAGGTATTTGTGTATCTTCTTTGGTGAAATTATTTTATCAAAGTTGAGATTCCTGAAGGTTGTATTATGTCCCATAAAAGATTTGTTGAAGTCTTAACCCCAGGTACTTTTGAATGTAACCACATTTGGAAACAAGGTCTTTGAAGATGTAATTAAGTTGAGATGAGGTCTTACTGGATTAGGATGGGCCCTAATCCACTGACTGGTGTCTTTATAAGAAAAGAAAAATTTGAATACAGAACACACATGGAGAACGTCACTTGATGATGGAGATTGGAAGGCTGTGTCTACAAGTTAAGAACACAAAGGGTTGGTGGCAAGCTAAAGAGAGTCAAGGAAGGGGGCTCCTTTGACCCTTCAGAGAGAATATGGCTCCGCTGACACCTTGGTTTTGGACTTCTAGCTTTCCAAACTGTGAGAATAAATATCTGTTGTTGTAAGGCACCAAGTTTATGTTAATCTGGTAAATCTATTTTTTTCTTTTGCTGATTGTTCTTTTGATGTCACATAAGAAATTGCCCAATCTAAGGTCACAATGATTTACTCTTATGCTTCCTTCCAAGAGTTTTGTAGTTTTGTTCTTATAATACTTAGGTCTCTGGTTCATTTTGAATTAGTGTTTTTATATGATCTTGGTCCCCCAGGGATTTTTGTAACCTTTGGCCCCTTCCAACTTTTCTGAAGAGGCTCTCTGCCTGCTCCCTCACCATGCTCAAGCAACTAGTACCAATCTTACATATTCCTCGATACCACTGTGGTTGCTTAAGTAAAAGATCAATTTTCCAGTAGGTCTTTTTCTGAAATTTTTCTTTCACACTTCAGCTTGTGCAGTAATTTAGCTAAGTGGAGATTTCTCTTTAGGCAATATTTTTCCTCAGTACTCTGAATAGGTTATTTTGTGATAAATGTTCTTTGTATGTCATCTGTCTTTTCTTTTTGATTGCTTTTAAGATTTTTGTCTTTTCAGTTTTACTATGAAATAACTTAAAATTTAAATTTTATTGCTTTTTATGAGTCCAAGGATTCATATATCTTGCCTGTTTTTTTATTGGGCTGCATATATATTTATCTTATTGAAGCTATTCGTGATTATACACTGTCTGTTTCCCTCTAGAGTTAACCACCATTCTGATTTACTGTAACTGTCTCTTTGCTTTTCTTTATGGTTTTACCATCATGTATGCATCCCTAAACAATACAGTTTAGTTTTTCCTGTTTTTGAGTTTACTACAAATATAATCAAACAGTATACATGCTTTAGAATTTCCCTTCTTTCTATAAACACGTTTTTAAGATTTATCTATGTTGCTTCAAAAAGCTGTAGTTTATTCATTTTCATGACTGCATAGTATATCATTTGATGTTACACATTTATGTCACTTGAAAACAGACATGGTCAGAATACCGTTTTCCTTTCAATATCCATACTAAATGTTTTCCATTATTTAGATTTTCTTTAATGAATTTCAATAAAATTTTATAATATTATCTCTTGGACTTATTTTACACATTTTGTTATATTTTCTTTCATTCTTTGTATTTTTGCTATTATAAATTGTATCTTACACACGTATTTTCTAGCTGTTTGTAGCTAGTATGTAAGAATGCAATTGATTTTTTACATACTTAATTTAAAACATATTTGTTATTGACTTTCAATTTATTTTCTTTATAGTCAGAGAACATACTTAATTTAAAACTTATCTTTGTTATTGACTTTTGATTTATTTTCTTTATAGTCAGAGAGCATAGTTTGCATATTCCAATTCTTTGAACTTGAAAGTATAGTTATGTGTCACTTAATGATGGAGATATATTTTGAGAAATGCTTCATTAGGTGATTTCTTCTGTGCAAATATCAAAGAGTGTACTTAGACAAACCTAGATTACTTACTACACACGTAGGATACAAACCTTACAGCATGTTACTGTACTGAATACTCTAGGCAACTGTAACACAATGGTATGTATTTGTGTATCTAAATCTATCTAAACATAGAAAAGGTATAGTAACAAATATGATATAAAAGATTTAAAAAGGTACACCTGTATTGGGCATGTACCATAAATGGAGGTTGCAGCACTAGAAATTGCTCTGAGTGAGTGAGTAGTGAGTGAATGTGAAGACCTAGGGCATTACTCTACACTTTTATGTGACTGGCAGCATAGTAGATTTATTTCACCAGAATCACCACAAACATGTGAGTAATGAGTTGTACCACAATGTTAGGAAAGCTACGTCACTAGGTAATAGGAAATTTTCAGCTCCATTATAAACGTATGGGACTACCATTGTATATATTGTCTACTGTCGACTAAAGTATTATGCAGTACATGACTGTATTTGTAATGGCACACATATATTCTGTTATAATCTCCCCAAAGGAAACACTTCATGTCCCACCTTACATCCAATATGGGTTTAAAGTTGCCCAGCTATCTCCTTCTAGACCTGTGGTTCTCAAGGTTGGTGGTGGAGGATGGGATACTTCTCTCTAGGGGAATTTTGGATGTTTTTGAGAGCATTTTATTTGTTATAACAATTGAAACGACATCAAGTGGCTGGAAATTGGAGATGCTTTATTTCCTGGAATGCAGGGAAGAATTCTCCTATGTCCTGCTTGACTGAAGGTCTTGCCAGTCATTCAATTACAAAATCCATTTGTAATTATTTGAGCATAGGAACAACTTCATTATATATGCAAACACCAATTATTTTCTGAATAGTTTTAATATGTAATAAATTTCTCTGGAATGCAACTGTGACATACATTTAATCTGACCATAATAATTTAGTTTTTATATCTAGATGTTGAATATCAGAATGCATCTGCAATAACCAGATGAATATTGTCCTACTTATTATAAATCCATATTGGTTGATAATGAGAATCTTATTAGTCCCCATCATCTAGTGTCATCATGGTTGAGGATCTGAATATTGAAATACTTATTTTATTTTAAATTCCTTTTAAATTTCTTATTAGAACAATATAGGGATTAATTAGATTATATTGTTCTTATGTAATTAGAACAATATAGGGATTTAAAATTAGGTATGTGTGTAAGTTATATGTTCTGAAAATTTCATGATAGTACAAGAATGTTAAAAAAATATTTTTTATAAAGAAGACTGAGCCAGACAGGGCTTAGATTCACTGTTTTAGAGAACTAGTCGGTGAACCATAAATGCTGTTTCTCTTCGTGATCAGTTTTAAAGTTTCAGCCAACCCCACAAATACAGCAGGCAATCATCTTATACTTTTGTACAAGTGACTAAAAAAACTTTGTCCTGATAAAAAGTTGGTAAACTAGTGTGTATGTGTGTGTGTGTGTGCATGTATGTGTGTGTATCTGTCTGTGTGTGTGTTTGTTTATAATGGAAGGACCAAGAAAACTAAAAGCTTTCAGAGAAAAAAACTGAAGGTAGGGTTTGGACAGGTGGTGTCCTTTCTTCCTTTGTTGCTTACATTTGGTGCTGCTAATATTTTTCTTTTCAACTGGAAGGCTAGATGGGAACAACTCTAAAGGAATGAAATCATTTCAAATTATTTGTATGTAATCTTATTTAAGGAGTCAGCATTTGGAAACTGGACAAGCGTTATTATTTTGAAATTTTCTTTTGAATTTGTAGCTCATTAGAAGCTGAGATTAAGTCATTTAACAAATTCTTAGAAAGTAATATTGATAAAACAATAATAGAAAATAATTATTTATATTTTCATCAAGATTGCCATAACTATGATGTGTATGCTCTTGGTTTTCATATTTTAGGATTTGAGAAATTTAAACTTTCCTACCTCTCTGTATTTGAAATAGCTTACCTCTTCTTCCAGCTACCTTTTAGATGGTCTGTTTAGTCTGTTGCCATAGCAGTCACTACTGTGCTTCCTAATATTTGGCTGGAAGACCAAATTTCTGCTGTAGGTGATAGACATGGCAATTTTGCCCCAGCAACTGGCCAAAATAAAAGATGGTGTGAATGGATGGGAGGATCATTACACTCTACCCCAAATTCTGTGTGAGTGTGAGCTACACGTATTACAAGTTGAAAGAACAGGAAATCTAATCTGGGTCATGAAGCCAAATAAATAAAGCAGTTGCTGACTTTAGGTTTGAGACCAAGAACGAGCTAACAGACATCTGATTCATATGCATTGTATAATGGAAGAGATAGACTTTTATGATTCACATTTTTCCTGACCAACTGCCAACTCTCCTCTGACTGACTGACCAAATGTCAAATATTCTTTGGAGGTTTTCCTGGTGTTTTAGTCAATCTGTAAATCTCATTACTTTTCTAACAGTCTTTCCAGAACATCTTTTGTATTTACTTTTCCATTATTTTCTGCATAGTTTTCCAGAATGTACTTACTTAGGATGTTATTTTCAACATATGTATGTAGATATCAGAATCATTTTGCTTAAAAATATAATTTCAATTAGGGATACATAACTTGATGGCAACAGCTTGATGGTTTCAGTATTAATTGTTCTTAATACAAGTTAGTTAGAATTAGTAAGAACACTAAAGATGCTGAATGGAATCCGCATGATTATATTGATTGTGAGTTACATCAAGCAATTCTTATTCTCGGTAATTTTTTATGGAAAAGTTTGGGTGAAGTGTCAGATTAGAGGAATTCAATGGATTTAAAAATAATTATAAACATTTTTATAATGAAATAAATATCAAATAGATGGATATGTCAGTCTTTCAAGGAATTTGAATATCTCCATGAATGCCCATCCTGAACTTTTGTTTCTGGAAACTTTATATTCAAATCTCTAAAAACACACAAATATCTGTTCTATTTTTGAACAATTCATGGAAGGAGAATAATAGTGTCTGTCCATCAGTAACTAGGTCTCATGCTTTACAAAGTTCACTGGATGGAAGATTTTCCTTTTATATAACTTGAATTCCAACTACTGTAATGTAATTTCCCTTTTACATATTCTGAATAGAGAACATCTGGTCACCACCTTTCTTTCCTTCTTTTACCTTTTGCCAAATGCCATTAGCAGAACCCTCTTCTCTGACCTTTACTATTCATGCTTGACCCTTAGAAAAACCCGACTTTATTTTTGTCTGTGGTGTAGGTCATGGTGCACAGGCAGTAGGTTTTTTGTTTACATCAACCTCATCACCTCATTGAACACATCATTTCTCAGCCTTTGCCGGATTGAGCTTTCAAGAGCCAGGCCTACTGATTTTCATACCGCAAATCTAAGCCCTACATCACTTTCTAGACCAAACAGAACAACTTCTGCTCCCCATGAGACTGACTTTACTAATTATCCTCCCAGTTCTAGAATGAGTCTCCTGCAGTCACTGGGCTACCCAAATACTCTTAGTTGCCAACTAGCCTTGGCATTTGCAGGCACTGTACTCCTAGGTTATCTTAAAAAGACATTATCTCTGTTTGCTAAAGGTTTTGAATTGAAGTCTGTGGATGACTTTCTGGGAAGCTGTGATTCCCCTGAAATGAACTGTACAATATTGTGTGTTTGCATTTTTTTTCTGAAAGACTTCATAGCTTATAGCAGTTTTTTTGAAAGAGGAATATAATACAACAAAGTTTAAAAACTACTTTTATTTTGATCATGTATACTAAAGGATTTAGGAACACAGTGTCATGATGCCTATAGTCAATATATAAAAAAGTAATAAACATTTTCCTTTCTTCCATATATCGTTGTATCCAGCATTGGGCATTTCTGATAACCTTCTTTGCCCTCTTCTTTCTCTTTTCTATGTGGACTCCTGTGTAGTACCTGGGACCTCAGTCTGGTTACCAAGGTCTTGTGGCCCTTGTATATTTTTCCCAGAAGACAACTATCAGCCTTTCTGGCTTCTTAAACTTAGTTGGCTTCTCTCCCCTGATAGGGACCCTAGTATCTTCACTTGAAAATGCCACTAAAAATAAAACAATCCTGACTTTTCTTTCCAGGCCTTCTGAACTCTGCGTGGTCCGTTAACGTAGCCAAATATCTCCTAGTATCTGTGTCTACTTAATGGGTAGATTTTCTGTGAGCCTCCAACTCTTCTGTCACCATGTCAGCTTGTGAGACCATTTGCCAAGTACAAAGATGTGAAATATTAAAATCTGGGTCTCTCCTTACTCTTTTATTTTCATGTCGAATTTGTTATTGTAATCAAGAAAGAGAGACACTGACAGGGGATAATTAAATACATGGGTAATCATATTCCCTAAACTTACAAAAGGGATAAGTCTAAAATTTGGTCTAAATTAGGGACAAGTCAATTAAAATTGAGGCTGTCTTGGAAAATTGATGTTATATGGTTACCATAGTGAAGTAGAACAATCATACTGTTACTGAGGTTAAAAATAACCTTGGAAAATTAGGACTTGAATGAATATTACTATAAGACTCTATAAATGGAAAATCTTACAATAGCATACAGTACTCAGTCACATTTTTGTTTTTCACATTTGGAGAAGGAAAGAAATAAGCATTTTTTGCTTGCATAATTGTCTCCTAGTGCATTTTTTTCTTTCAGTAGCCACTGTTCTGCCACCAGAAGCATTTCTGGACTAGAGTGTCCAAAAGGTACTGAAAGTCACGATTGACTTCTTTCCTACTCAGATATGACATACTTCTCTGATCTTCCCGTCTGCTGTCTTGGGAAGAAGAAGTACAAGATTAAGGTTGGAAATGTCAGAATATAGACGAGAATATCAGAACTGGAAGTCTTAGAGAACATCTGGTGAAGCTTTACAGCTGAGAAAATGAGTGAAGATTTGGCAGGTAATTTGCCCTGGCTCATTGGCTGTCAGAGCCAAGGTTGACACCTGTTTCTCCTGGGTGCCTGGTAATTTGCCCTGGCTCATTGGCTGTCAGAGCTGAAGTTGGCACCCGGTTCTCCTGGCCCCATGTTCTTCTCATTCCACCATGTTGCTCTCTGGCGACGTGGCTTTTTCTGGGCTGCTGAGGTTCCCTGTCCTTCCTCTTTTAGGTGAAAGAGGAATTAAATCCCATATATGAATGGAAAAAAAGAACTCTTCTAACATTACAAGTCTCCCACACAGACTCAAACACATCATATTCCTTACAATCTTTCATTTTGAGGACAGGACTTAGTTATGAAACTGCATAGTGCATTTTTTCAGCAGTTCTGGGACCAGAGTTATCATGTTAAGCAAAAGTAGAACACTTTCACTTTTTACTGAATTAGTTATTATCTGCTCTTCCTAATAAAATGATCAGATGTTTTTAGCTAAGATGTCCATTCAGAAAAGACTGGTCATTTAAAATTATGGGGAAAAAGCAACAATGTAAATAAGTTATTTTGGATATAAAATTAGATATTGTAGGGTAATTGTCAGCTGCAATGTTTTAGTTTTTATGGACCAGTGGAAGAAAATATGAGATGACCACTCTGCCAAAATTTGTAGCATTATCAATGTAATTATCTGGACTCATACTTTTGCATGGACAGAAATTAACTTCACAACATAAATAATAGATATTAACCCAACAGAACTGATTTTCACGACAAACATAAATAAATTTATTTCACAACAAAAGGGATTAGGTGTATTTATTTTTTATTTTATTTTATTTTTTTTGAGACAGAATCTCACTCTGTCACCCAGGCTGGAGTGCAGTGGCACGATATCGGCTCACTGCAAGCTCTGCCTCCCAGGTTCATGCCATTCTCCTGCCTCAGCCTCCTGAGTAGCTGGGACTGCAGGTGCCTGCCACCACGCCTGGCTAATTTTTTGTATTTTTAGTAGAGACAGGGTTTCACTGTGTTAGCCAGGACAGTCTCGATCTCCTGACCTCGTGATCTGCCCGACTTGGCCTCCCAAAGTGCTGGGATTACAAGTGTGAACCACCGCGCCTGGCCTAGATGTATTTTAATAAGAGGTAGTATTGTATAGGTAAAAAGGCTTTTCATTGGTTGAAATAAAATACTTCTCCACTTGGAAGTTGTCTTTTACTATATTCTGTAGTAATTATTAATGCATGGTAATTACTCTGAGGGAAGGGGGTAACAGGTATCTTATTTTTCTTTCTATTTCCAAGATCTGGCCCATTTCCCTGCATATCACACATCTTAAAATTGTTTAACTGACAATAATTACATTTGTTGTTACACCTGTGGTAATAAACATTACATCTGAGTACAACTTAGATATTTTGGCATTTCAAATTCCAATTCAGAAAAGCAAAATCTGTTTTAAAGTCAAATTACATTTGACTATATTGAAGCTCAGAGTATGTTTTTCCATATATTGAGATATATCTTAAAATATTAAAATTAAATAAGTGAGGAGATCCATGCACCTTGATGTTCACATAATGTTTTTATATTTTAGAACCTCACAAATTGTTTAGGCAGAGAATTGTCATACATAATAAGAATTTTAACTTTCACAGTGTGCCAAGATTAGAAAATGTTCTATAAAATACATTTTCTATAAACTGAGGAACCTGAATAAAAATCTAAATATTGGAATGGCAAGTAATGTGGGGTAAATTGGCTCTCATATATTGCTGTACATAAATTAGTCCAACCATGTGGAGGACAACTGAGCAATGTCTACTAAAATTGTGAATGTATATAGACTTTCCTTCTAGGTACTTAGATCACAGATAAGTGGATAAATATATGAAATGAGGTCTGCACAAGTCATTAACTGCAGTATTGTTTATAATAGGAAACCTTGCAAATAACCTAAGTTTCCAACAGTAATGTTAAGATGCATCCAAAAAGGGAATACTATGCAGGTATAAAAGTATGAGGACAGTGGCTGGGCGCGGTGGCTTACGCCTGTAATCCCAACACTTTGGGAGGCCGAGGCAGGCAGGTCATGAGGTCAGGAGTTTGAGACCAGCGTGGCCAACATGGTGAAACCCTGTCTCTACTAAAAATACAAAAAAATTAGCTGGGCATGGTGGTGTGCTCCTGTAGTCCCAGAATCACTTGAACCTGGGAGGTGGAGGTTGCAGAGAGCTGAGATTGCACCACTGCACTCCAGTCTGGGCAACAGAGCGAGACTCTATCTCAAAAAAATAAAATAAAAAATATGAGGACAATCTTTTCTGATTTGCAAAGATCTCCAGATTTTCCTAAATATAAACTTTTGAATTAGCCAGCCTTACCCACCCAGTTATAGTCAGCTGTGGACAACTTGTAGCCTGGAGAAGATGAGGAGAACAGATCTCCAAGGTCAGGTGCTTTCCCAAGAGATCAGGAGGAGGGGTGAACAGAACTCTACATGCCTGGTTTCTCCTTTGAAATTCACCAATCTGGCAAATCATTTCTCCATGTCACAGTGAGAAGAGAAGCCTTGGGTAATACTGCTGGTGGCCTTAATTCTACCAGGAAGAAAATAGCACTGCAGAGTATAAGTGTCCTCCAAGATACTTGAAACTCTTCCTGTTTTCAGTCTTGTCCCTCCAATCTGTTTGATGTGTTTTCAAAGGATAGTGCTCTCAAAACACAGGCTCATTTATTCCATCTCTTTCCATGAGAACCTTCACAAACTTCTTTTTGCCTACGAAAATGAAATTTTACAAAATCCTCTCTATATAGGAAGGCAAGACTAAATCTCAACCCTTGTTGAATCCTCAGTGCCAGGTACTCTGCCTGGAATATAACAGGCACGAGATAGAGACATCTGAATGTGTAGTAAATAACTAACATATAAATGCTGAAGGTCATAATCATGCCACGTCCTCTGGCCGTTCCATGCTATTTGTGAGTTTCTGCACCCACTTTGTACTTTTAAGCTATGATGTTTTAGAGAGTAGAAGATTCTTCATCTCTTTTCTATCATAATCTTACTCATCTTTCAAGGTGCTCATGTGCTACTTCCTTTATGAAACATTATCTTAATCCCTTCATCAAGATGATTAGTTCTTTCCATTTTAATCTTATAACATGTTTATAATTCACTTTAGTTCTTACATTATTCCATTTTAGGTTATAGTTAGATATTTTAATATCTATTTTACCCATTAGATTATAAGCTCATTGAGGGGGCTTATATTTATTATATATAATGTCTAGCATTGGAACCAACCTATAGTAAAGTTAATTAATGTTTATCAAATTGAATCATGCTCACATTTTAAAAAGTAGTTATTTAGATAGCAGTCTATCTTTTGATGCACAAATAATTATTTTATCATGAGCAATATAAATGTAGTCTTTCTGTGAGAATATTGAATTTTTCAAACAGTTGTCCAAATTTTAGTAGGTTTCAGCAAAAGAATTCCAACATCAAAGAGATTTTGGATGTTGGGGTTGGGGAAAATAAGGTTGCCATTTGGATGGAGAAAAGCAGAAGTACAGATGGCATTAAAATCACCCTATAAATTTTATTGTACATTGGAAAAAATGTTGAATGACTACACAAATGTTACTGTTTTAATAATTAGAGAGTGCAAATTTTTGATATGCATGAAATTTATATTTGAATTGGACTTTTAATATGTTTGGATTTTAACTGTTTATTTTTAAATTAACTACACATTCTGTTAATTTATACTTGGAACTTATGTTTGCATTCTGAGAGTCCTATCAACCAAAAGTCTTTGGATCAGAGGCACATGTTTCTAATACATGGAAAAGAATGTGGATAGCCTGTTTTCTGATTGGTAGAAGTGGGAGTGATACATTGCTTTTGCCGTCTATGTGCCATAAGGCATACCCTTGGGAAGGGGTGTAGGATGCAGTGTGCAGATACTTATTTGTGTGTCTGATGAATAAATATAACAACCACTTGTGGGTAGCAGAATAGAGGTTATAAGATACAGAATGGCTATGATGTCTTTGGAATGAAGGAGGTGTATATTGATGCTTTCAAATGATAGGAGTTTTGTTCCTAGGTTGAGCAAGAAATCTGTGAGGTGGTTTGCTTCCCAAATTGGCCTCTGATTCACAGTTTTCCTGGCATGCCTCAACAACATTTGCTTCAGATGCAGTGGAATCCTGTCTTTTGGCCCCTGGTGACAGGCAGAGGCAGCCTGATTCTGGCGTAATGTCAGGGTGAATGTTGTATGCCACAGGGCCTGGAGTGGCTGCAGTCAGGACGGTTGTGCTGCCAGGGGCCCAGGCAGGGGCACAGCACTAGAGCATAGAAGAAGTGACTGTGGGGTTGCTCTCTGCTCTGCGCATGCTCAGGCAGGTTTCCCTCTTTCCCACTCCTAGACTTGGAAATCTGGATGGCACATGTGTTTGGCTGGCTGCCCTCCCAAAACATTTTAAAGCCCTACCCAAAATATTTTAGTGGAACAGTGGTGGTGGTTTAGATCACTGGCCGTAGCAGCCTTGTGTTTCTAAACTAAGTTAAGCCAACCAATATTTACACCCTTCATAACTGCTGTTTGTAAAACATTCAGATGCCTGCCCACACAGTGAAATGTGATGTGACTCAATCAGGATAAACAGCTATCATCTCTGTTAAATTATAGCATGACGTTTGCTTAAAAGTTAAAATTATCTTAAATTGAGAAAATTTGAGTTTTACTTTTTGGAAAGGTTTTGTAAGAATAATAAAGTGCCCAAGGGCAATCAACAGAGAACTAAATTGTATGAATTCAAGATTACTTAATGAGCATCTTTCAGACTGCTTTCCCACTACAGGTTCCAGGATGATGAAACATTAGAAGTAAGTATTGACTACAAGGAGAATCAGTTTAGGTCAATAGGTGCTTAAAATCTAGTTGATGGTTTTCCTTTGAATTATTTGTCACTGAGTGTGTGAGTGAGTGAATCATTAAACAGTTATGCTCAGACTTATCTTGTAAGAGACCAATCTAATTAGGTGCAAAGCACCAAAAGAATTGCAGTGGGGAAGGGTCTCACAGAGCAATGAAGGGAGATCAGTTACATACATTAAGTCCTCAAATGCAAGATTATCTGTGGTAAGGGTCAAGAATAATATGAAGTCCTGTGAAAGTTCAGAGGGTGAAAAAAACATGTTTGGTGAGGTTTTCAGAGAACTTCGACCAAATTTAATTGAAATCTAAAATGTGTTAAAGCACTGGGAATTAAAAGATGACTAAATCAAGGACTTGGGATTAGGTTGGATTTTAGCAGATGGAAATCAAACTGAAAGAGACGGCATGAAGAATGGTTCAATAAAGGTAAACATGCAATATATGTACAGCATAAGGAATGCTCAACAAATTCGAAGACACACAAAGCTGGGAGGAAATGATGCTTCTGACTCTCTACGTTTTACAGCTTATAGCTAACATTCATAAAGCACTTCCTTAGCCGGCTTGTTGCCAAGAACTCGGTATGGAGTATTGACTTTAATTCTTATAGCATCTCTGGAGGTAGATGGTATTTATCTCTACATTAAAAATGAGGAAAATGAATGTAAGAGAGATATGGTAACTTGACAAAAGTCATAAACTAGTAATTGGGCAAGACAGGTCTGAGACAAGGGCAGTCTGATTCCAGAACCACATAACTATTAAACCATTCTGCCAACCTGTCTCTGACCTTATTGGTAATAGCTCTGAAATGTTTCCTAGGAATAAGGTCCTTCGTGCCATGAGCTCCACTGCATTATTCATTTAGCTGTCACCATCTCTCATCATTATGGCAATATTCTCTTAGCTGTTTCTCATGCCACCAGACATCTCTTCAAATTCATCCTACAACTGTCCCCAGAATTACCTTTCAATAACACAGATCTGATCATAACACTTCTTGGTTATAACAATGTTCAGTTGTCTTTATGAACAAACTGAGACTTCTTAGTGTGGCATATAATGTCCTTTATAATCTGGCTGGAGTCCAATTTTCCTTCACAGTCCCATCATCTGCAATTCTTCCTTTCTCAAACTTCTCAAATGTCCCAGCTATACTAAAATATACTTTGATTCCAAAACTAGAGCAGTTCTAGAGTCTTTTTATTTTTTATGTTTAAAAGTAATATTTTAAAATTTTATTTATTTTTTATTATACTTTAATAGGGTACATGTGCACAATGTGCAGGTTTGTTACATATGTATACATGTGCCATGTTGGTGTGCTGCACCCCTTAACTCGTCATTTACTTTAGGTATATCTCCTAATGCTATCCCTCCCCACTCCCCCCACCCCACAACAGGCCCTGGTGTGTGATGTTCCCCTTCCTGTGTCCAAGTGTTCTCACTGTTCAATTCCCACCTGTGAGTGAGAACATGGGGTGTTTGGTTTTTTTGTCCTTGCGATAGTTTGCTGAGAATGATTGTTTCCAGCTTCATCCATGTCCCTACAAAGGACATGAACTCATCCTTTTTATGGCTGCATAGTATTCCATGGTGTATATGTGCCACATTTTCTTAATCCAGTCTATCATTGATGGACATTTGGATTGGTTCCAAGTCTTTGCTATTGTGAATAGTGCCGCAATAAACATACGTGTGCATGTGTCTTTATAGCAGCATGATTTATAATCCTTTGGGTATATACCCAGTAATGGGATGGCTGGGTCAAATGGTATTTCTAGTTCTAGATCCTTGAGGAATCACCACACTGTCTTCCACAATGGTTGAACTAGTTTACAGTCCCACCAACAGTGTAAAAGTGTTCCTATTTCTCCACATCCTCTCCAGCACCTGTTGTTTCCTGACTTTTTCATGATCACCATTCTAACTGATGTGAGATGGTATCTCATTGTGGTTTTGATTTGCATTTTTCTGATGGCCAGTGATGATGAGCATTTTTTCATGTGTCTTTTGGCTGCATAAATGTCTTCTTTTGAGAAATGTCTGTTCATATCCTTCGCCCACTTGTTGATGGGGTTGTTTGTTTTTTTTCTTGTAAATTTGTTTGAGCTCTTTGTAGATTCTGGATATTACTCCTTTGTCAGATGAGTAGATTGCAAAATTTTTCTCCCATTCTTTAGATTGGCTGTTCACTCTGATGGTAGTTTCTTTTGCTGTGCGAAGCTCTTTAGTTTAATTAGGTCCCATTTGTCAATTTTGGCTTTTGTTGACTTTGCTTTTGGTGTTTTAGACATGAAGTCCTTGCCCATGCCTATGTCCTGGTCTTTTTAAAATGTTTTTTTTTTTTTACTGTCTTTTGAGGGGAAAAGTTGAAATAGTAAGAAATTAAGCTGAAAAAAATGTTTTGAGCTCGAGAAAATATAAAAGACATTGGATGACAGGTTAGGAGGCTAGGAATTTATTAAGTAGACAATAAAGAACTATTTAAGACTTTCAAACTAGGAAATAACCCATCACGATGGTTCTTTAGAAGGGTTAATCTTTTGGAGTGGGCAGAGTCAGATGGCAGAAAGATTCTGTCTGTTTAGTTCACTATGAATCTCAAATGCCATGACCAGTTCTAGGAACACAGTAGGTGTTTTATTAATATTTGCTGAATGAATGAATTCTAGTGTACATTTTGAGTATTAGTGTCTACAGAATATCATTTCCTCCCCCATGATCTTGATCTGTCTCTCATTTACACACTGGCACTCTCTCCTTTTCATCAGTTTTGATCTTTTTATTGATTATTAGAGGATATTTTTCTAACTTTATTATTATAATCCTTCTAATTCATATTCAACAAATATTTAAAAATTTTTTATTGTGTAGAGCCATGCCCCCCATCAATTTGAGTGCTGTTTCTACACTTGCTCACATGTAATCCTCACAAGAACCCAGTGAAATAGTGTCATTATTCCCATTTTGCATGTGATTGATGCCCAGACTTCATACCGTTAAGCAGGGTAGACTTCTGGCTCCAGGTTCTGTTCTCTTTACATCACAGAAATTGAAAAATTCACATCATGATTCCTTTTTAGTCTCTGACTAAAGCATGGTGATTGATTTGGACCCATTTTAGCCGCTTTTCCTTAAAATGAAAATATCAAGGGTAAAGGAATGAAGATGGTATGGTAGCTCTATGGGGGAGTAGGGTTGTGGTATTATTTCTTTTCTCAAAGAAGTAGAGATGGAAATATATAGGCTTGGGTGAAGAGAGAGGTACTGTGTAGTAGGGTCAGGACAGTTAAGAATCAAGGTTATTTAAAGAGTATGATAGGGGATGGAATTAAGTGCTAAAGTGGAACGTTCAGTTAGCCTTGGAAAGGAAGAGGGATACTTATCCCCAATGAAGGAAGAAAGTAGAGAAATCAGTAGAGGTCTAAGATAAATTTTCAAGTAAGGGAGGGAAGGAGGTTGCAGAAAATAATATCAGTAATGTTAGCCACTCTATTGAAGATTCTAGCTAAAGTGACTCCAGATTGTTTGGTCTCAGATATTTGGGACAATTGGCCAAGTGTTACTCTCTAGCCTGGTTAAACTTTGTTACTTGGCTAAGAGCATGGGTTATGAAGTCAAATTGTCTGGGTTTTAATTTTGGCTCTTTGATTTACCAAGTTCATGACCTTGGCAAGTTACTAACCCTTTCGATGTTTTAGCCCTCATCTGTAAAATGGGGTGTTATAGTAGTAACCTCATGAATTTGCCGTGCAAATTAAATCAGTTCATATATCCAAAGCTCTAGGACCTGTACTCTGTACACAGTAAGCCCTATTTAAGTGGGAGCTGCTGCTGCTATGTGTTTCATTTCCCTAGCACCTTAAGCATCTTGAATATTGTTCATTCTTATCATATTGTAAATATTTTCATGGGAGACATGACTTGGCTGTAGACCAGAAGTGAAAAGTGCTATTCTTCCTTCTTCATTTACAACCATACTCATGTACATGGAATAATACACAGATAGGCTGGGCACAGTGGCTCACGCCTATGATCCCAGCACTTTGAGATGCCGAGGCCGGGGGATCACCTGAGGTCACGAGTTTGAGACCAGCCTGCCCAACATGGCGAAAACCCATCTCTACTAAAAATACAAAAAATTAGCTGGGTGTGGTGGCGGGCACCTATAATGCCAGCTACTTGGGAAGCTGAGGTAGGAGAATCAGTTGAATCCAGGAGGTGGAGGTTGCAATGAGCCGAGATCACACCACTGCACTCCAGCCTGAGTGACAAGAGTGAAACTCCGTCTCAAAACAAACAAACAAAACCAAAAACACAGATAACTACACTGGCCTTAATTCAGCTGACAGTTTGGGATTGAGTGGTGTCTGTGTTATTTGAATTGTTTTATGCTTTAATTAAATAATTAAGCAGGATTACTCAATCAAGATAATCATAGATAAAAGAACCACTTTTAACACCTAAATTTGGAACTCTGGAATAAAATTGCAATGACAATTTATTGTACTTCAATTATACTCAAATCCCTTAATGACTTCTAAATTATTTTTGAATAAAGAAACTTGAATCCTGAATTACCATAGGAAACTATAACCAATCTACTCCCTATTTATAAATTAGTCAGCTGCTGGAGTTTTGCCATAACATACACTGTAAACCTCATACTTCAAGACCAACTGGAGAAAGAATTTAAGCTTTTCATTAATGATAGGTTCATTGCTTAAAAACTGCTACCTTATTTCAATATGACATGTAAACTATCTCTATTTTGTCTATTTTGGTCTATGCTTGCAATTAATGATAATTGCTGGTATGAAATTTCAATAGCCATCTTAGAGGATTTTAGTGAGAAAATAATCCTGAGATAATATATGCCTACTGTATATATTGCTAACTTCATTTCCTGAAAGTTTATTTTAATAAAATCTTTTTTGGTCTGCCAAAGAGAACTGCAGAATTGGCTAATCTTGTTACAAATAATTTTAAAAAATTGTACAATTTTGGGTTAAGCCAACTATTAATTTATCCCAAATCATTTGAAATATAACCACCTCCTATTTATTGGAATTATCTCTTAAGATAGCCACAAAAATAGCCTTGTGGATACTTTAAAATTATATTAATGATGTAGAAACATACGTTGACCAAGAATGAAATGAACATATGCAAAATGGCCAGATAGTTCCAGAAACTTGAATTATTATTCAAACCACAAAATCTTTCAGAAATCATTGCAGAAGAATATTGGGTCATGAATTAGTCTATTTTCTGAAGTAGGGTTAATTTGAAAGCTGTAGTATAAATTCAAAGGTAGGGAAAAAAGGATAAAATCACCAGGCTTATTTTTAAAAGCCACATATTACAAAAAGCAGAAAGAATTTGTAGTTTTTTCTTCAATATATTGTATCTATGAATGGATGCACAGAGTTTTATGGACTCAAACTCATGATGATGAAATACAGTGTTTACTGAAAGTTGTTTTCCTTATTAATAAATGTTTCTATGATACACATTTGATAATACTTCTTTGTTTCATTTTAAATTATTTTTCTTCCAAGAAAGTACATGCAAAATAAACTTGCCATTTTTACAAGCACTGTTCTCTTACTAATACTCTAGTAGTTGCTGCCAAATACTTCTAAAATAGTTTAAAATAAATTTCATTATTCAACATCTGTTTCTTCTCCAATTTTTTAAAACATAGAAATAACTGTAGATAAGGGAAACTTCTCTGAAATGCCAGACTTTGTTGCACAAATATAAATTATGAAATATGCAGCTGTATCTAACAAATGAAAACTACTAATTTGTGACACTGAAAAAAGCACATTGCTATTATCAAAGAAACTATAACGTTTTGTGGCTTGAATACTTACCTTCCCTTTTTATGAATATTTTAGAGCTAGTAGTAAGAACTATGTTTTTAAAATGTGTAGCTTAAACTATTTTGGGTATAAAGTATTTCCATGTGAATTAGTAACAATTTTATTTCTAGAAAAATTAGAACATGTATTGACTTTAAAGCTTTTGAATATTCATGAAACATTTCTTAAGAACCTATCATTGTTTAATACATTGAGTTGCTTGCTATATTGTGGTAGTTTTAAAACTTGAAAAACTTTAGGCTGAGTGCAGTGGCCCATGCCTGTAATCCCAGCACTTTGGGATGCTGAGATGCGTGGATCACTTGAGGTCAGGAATTAGAGACCAGCCTGACCAACTTGGTGAAACCCTGTCTCTACTAAAAATACAAAAATTAGCAGGGTGTGGAAGCTTGGTCCTGTAATCCCAGCTACTGGGGAGGCTGAAGCATGAGAATCACTTGAGTCCAGGAGGTGGAGGTTGCAGTGAGCTGAGATCATGCCATTGCACTCCAGCTGGGCAACACAGCAAGACTCTGTCTCAAAAAAAAAAAAAAAGAAATTTTTTTTTTGAAAAAGACTTCCTAACCTGGTATGCCATGTAATCTGTTCCTCAGTGTGACAGTGAGCATGCTGCAAATAAGAGTGCCCCAGGGGAAAATAAATGTGGTCATGTTGGGTTTCTCTGTGTGGAACTTTTCGGACTCAAATATGTGTTGTGAATCTTGAAGGGGAGTTATGGGTGCATGTTTCACAATCCTGTTTAACCACAGGGCTTCTTTTGGGGAGAAAGGATGGGGTACACAGCACCTATTAACATAAGCATGTATTAATGTACATTTTAAAATCCACTCTGTATCCCTGCACCTTTACTTTTGTACCTGCCATCTACTTGTGCTGTTGGCATCCATCACTTTGCTCCTCACTTTTACACTTCTTGCACCATCTACAGTGTTCTCTTCTTAGGCCACAACTGGTCCATGGCCGTTTTTTCTCTATTACCTGTGCTTGGACCTCATCACCATTCTACCTGTCTCAGATCCAAGGTAATCTCTTTTATCTGACAGAAACGTTTCCTCCATCTCAATCTTGCTTTTTTTGTTCTGTGTGGAAGTAGAGGGACAGTTATTACTCCTCAGAAGAATTGGTTTGATGTAGCTCTTTAAATTTTAAAATTCATTAACTTTGGGTAGAAGCAATAGTGTTGTTTCAGGTTATTACACAGTCTTCTCTTTCTCAAAGACCATAGGCAGCTCTCCTCAGTCCAGAGGGCTGAGTCTTATGGCTTCAAACACTTCTTCAGGCTGTGTCTTCAACCACCAGTTTTCCCCACTAAGATGTTTTGCTGTATCTGGCTCATTGTGCCAAACGTATTCCCCATTTATGCTGATTTTTTTCTCAAGGGAACCCTGCTCTCTGTATGCCCATTATTTGGCTCCAATTACATTTTACCACGTTCTCACACTGCAGTCTGTCACATCTGTATATAACTAAAACCCAAATATGAACAGAGTTCAATTTCTTTTCTATGAGGTTTCTCAGCCTCTTATAGTCAAGGTATGTAGCTAAGTGCTACTGGGATATCACCTATTTCCATTTGCTAAAATTCTCAGCGTTACCTCTAGCATGGTTAATTTATTGGAATGTCACATGTGCCACTGGGATAGTTTTTATTCTCAGACATTCTTTAGGAAATTTCTCAAAGCTTAATTTTTATCAATTGATGTCTTTCAATATTGGCATTCTCCAGAAGTATAATGTCCCAAAGATCTATGCCTTTTCTTTATTTCTCTACAGATATAATCTTTCTCCCTTTGGCCACGCTTTGATCTATCACATTCTTTTTTTTTTTCCTAATAAATTGTTCTGTGAAACAAAGATATCCAACTAGAACTTATGAGTAATTTACTAATGTGTAACGTGTCATAATCTGGATTGTAATTCTGGGTGAGAACTGAATTTTTCATGTATTGGTGAATGATTGGAAAGTTCCACATTACATACTTTTTTCTAGGAAGGTTGAAATATATGTTTTTTTTCAGAGATAAAATAACGTATTTCTGTTTACAATAACCAAATATGAAATTGTGAGTATTTGCAATGGTGCCTAAGTAAAATTGACAATGTCAACAAACCTGTGCTTATGGAAGTCTAATTTGTTTTTATCATTAAACTGAGTGCTTTCGTGGCTTCCACAATATTAGCTGTGAAATAGTTCAACATCATATACCATGAATTTCTCCAGCCAGAAGAGTTGTACTAAACAAAAGTTGTAATGACATCAATAGAAGAAACACAGTTTCAACTCTTACTCTACCAAATGGTGAACAATCTTCTTAGCTAAATGGATTTTAAAAATCTCCCTTGACCATATTGCAGTTAAGAATGTGATAGATCCCCAGCACTTTGGGAGGCCGAGGTGGGCGGATCACGAGGTCAGGAGATCGAGACCACAGTGAAACCCTGTCTCTACTAAAAATACAAAAAAAATTAGCCAGGCACGGTGGCAGGTGCCTGTAGTCCCAGCTACTCGGGAGGCTGAGGCAGGAGAATGGCGTGAACCCGGGAGGCGGAGCTTGCAGTGAGCCGAGATCGCGCCACTGCACTCCAGCCTGGGCGACAGAGCAAGACTCCATCTCAAAAAAAAAAAAAAAAAAAATTTTGAGTATACCTTAATTAATCTTAAAATAAAACAGATATAGTAGGCATACCATAGTTTGAGCTTAATCATCTTAAATTAACTATCACTAAGTTTTGATTTAAAGCACCTTTTCCAGATATTAGATTTTATCTAACTGTTACAGTAAGTTTCTGTGCCTGGAGTGGGTAAAACCAAAGAAGTAACATCTTTTTTTGAAATACTGCTATATTATGGTTCTATTGTGACCTGTTGAATTATTCAAATAGAAAAAAAAGCGTGAACACTGCTCTCAAGAAACCTGGAATTGTTATAAATTATAAGAAACATTATTGTCATGAATCCTGATATGGTTTGGCTGTGTCCCCATCCAGATCTCATCTTGAATTCCCATGTGTTGTGGAAAGGACCCAGTGGGAGGTAACTGAATCATGGGGGTGGGTCTTCCTTTTAATGTTCTTGTAATAGTGAATAAGTCTCATGAGATCTTATGGTTTTAAAAATATGAGTTTCTCTGCACAAGCTCTCTCTTTGCCTGCTGCCATCCATCTAAGACATGACTTGCTCCTCCATGCCTTCCGCCATGATTGTGAGGCCTCTCCAGCCACATGGAACTGTAAGTCCATTAAACCCTTATAACTTGTATAAGTAACCCAGTCTCAGGTATGTCTTTATTGGCAGAGTGAAAATGGACTAATACAGCAAATTGGTACCAGTAGAGTGGTGCGCTGCTGAAAAGATACCCAAAAATGTGGAAGCAACTTTGGAACTGGGTAACAGGCAGATGTTGGAACAGTTTGGAGGACTCAGAAGAAGACAGGGAAATGTGGAAAAGTTTGGAACTCCCTAGAGACTTGTTGAATGACTTTGACCAAAATGCTGATAATAATGTGGACAATTAAATCCAGGCTGAGTTGGTCTCACATGGAGATGAGGAACTTGTTGTAAACTGGAGCAAAGGTTGGGATATGGACAAAGAAATCCAGGCTGAGGTGGTCTCAGATGGAGATGAGGAACTTGTTGGGACCTGGAGCAAAGGTGACTCTTGTTATGTTTTAGCAAAGAGACTGCCAGCATTTTGCCTCCGCCTTAGAGATTTGTGGAACTTTGAACTTGAGAGAGATGATTTAGGGTATCTGGCAGAAGAAATTTCTAAGCAGCAAAGCATTCAAGAGGTGACTGGGGTGCTGTTAAAGGCATTCAGTTTTAAAAGGGAAACAGAGCATAAAATTTTGCAAAATCTGCAGCCTGACAACGTGATAGAAAAGAAAATCCCATTTTCTGAAGAGAAATTCAAGCCAGCTGCAGAAATTTGCATAAGTAATGAGGAGCCAAATAATAATCCCCAAGACAATGGGGAAAATGTCTCCAGGGCATGACAGAGACTTTTGTGGCAGCCCCTCCCATCACAGGCCTGGAGGCCTAGGAGGAAAAAGTGGTTTCATGAGCCTGGCCCAGGGTCCCCATGCTGTGTGCAGCCTAGGGACTTGGTGCCCTGTGTCCCAGCTTCTCCAGCTGTGGCTGAAAGGGGCCAATGTAGAGCTCAGGCTGTGGCTTCAGAGGGTGCAAGCCACCCTTTGGATTTCAGACTTGTGTAGGGCCTGTAACCCCTTTGTTTTGGCCAATTTCTCCCATTTTGAATGGCCGTATTTATCCAATGCCTGTGCCTCCATTGTATCTAGGAAGTAACTATCTTGCTTTTGATTTTACAGGCTCGTAGGCAGAGGGGACTTGCCTTGTCTCAGATAAGACTTTCGACTGTGGACTTTTGAATTAATGCTGAAATGAGTTAAGACTTTGTGGTACTGTTGGGAAGGCATGATTGTTTTGAAATGTGAGGATATGAGATTTGAGAGGGGCCAGGGGCTGAATGATATGGTTTGGCTCTGTGTCCCCACCCAAATCTCATCTTGAATTCCCATGTGTTGTATGAGGGACCCAGTGGGAGGTAGTTGAATCATAGGGGTGGGTCTTTCCCATGTTGTTCTCATAATAGTGAATAAGTCTTACCAGCTCTGATGATTTTAAAAATGGGAGTTTCCCTGTGCAAGCTCTCTATCTTCTTCCTTGCCTTCTGCCATGATTGTGAGACCTCTTGAGCCATGTGGAACTGTAAGTCCATTAAACCCTTTTTCTTGTATAAATTACCCAGTTTTGGATATGTCTTTATTGGCAGCATGAAAATGAACTAATACAAATTCCATAGTTCAGTGTTAGATTTTTTCTAGATTGAACTTAAAAATGATAATCACCTTCTGTCTTCCTTCCTCTCTCCCTCCCTTTCTTCCCTTCTTCCTTCATTCTTTTTCTTCCTTTAAGCTTCCAGTGTTCTTCTACTCTCTTTTCTTCTTACCAAATAGAAAAGGATTGTTCATCACTCACTTGGCTTCAACATTCCTAAGCTGCTCTTTTCTTTGCCTTTCCCTTCCTAAGTGGTGATATTTTCTTGGTCCATTCAGAGGCTCACTGTTTTTTTATTATCTACTCCTCCATCCAACCCATCAAAATAGTGCAGACTTTGATGTCAGGAAATTTTTTTGATCATCTATTCTGGTATCCCCATTTGGTACCCTGACTCCATGAGTAACCAGCAAGGGATTGGACTGGCTAGGCTGCCCCTTCCTACTTACCCTCGAAGTTCCTGAGCACTGAGAGATCTGTAGTCAGCTTTCCCAAGATCATCTGACAGGTTCCTTTTCAAAGACTCTTTCCTTATCCCCTGTTTATTCCTCACACCATGAAGTTCAGCCTGCTCCATTAATTTATCAAACTTCCCACTTTATACTTTGTTTGAAAATATAGTTTATACTTAATATCATGTGGTAACTTAACATTTTTGGCATTACAGTATATCATGGTCTTTCTCACACACAAAACAGTATATCTTTGAATGGAAGGAAGCAAAACTTGAGTTAGACCATGAAGAATGGATAGGGTTTGGGCAGATGGGGTTTTAGGTTAGAGAGTCATGACTTGGGTGAGTACAGTGAAGCAGGAACCAGAAGGTCATGTGTGTGTGTGTAAGGCATATTATACAGTAAAAAGAAGAAGGGCTTCATGTTGGCTAGAACTGTATTTAAATCCTGCCAATTACTAGCTATTTAGCTGTGAGCAAGACAGCTTCCCTCTCTAAGCTTTGATATCCTTATCTATAAAATAACAGTACCTACCATACAGGGTTATTTACAAATATTAACGGCCATGTGTGTAAAACACCTAAAAAATGTTTTATGTATAGAAGCTACTTAATAAATAGTAAGTATCTAATGCTGTGTCAGTGACAGGAAAATTAAGACATGCCAGAAAGCACAAAGGTATCAAATGGTTTTCTGAAACCCCACTATAAACAAAATAAAAATGGAGATGAAAAATGTTCACACTATACATATGACAAGGCTAATAGGCTGTATATATTTTTAAATGTCTTTATAAGTCAATAAGAAAAAGAGGAACCCCAATAGACAACAGTGTGAAAGGGCTCAAGCATGCACTTTTCAGATAAAATACTAATAATCAATAAACATTTGAACAAATGTTCACCCTCACTGTGGTCAAAGAAAAGTACATAAAATGGGATACCATTTGGGGCCTGCCAAATTAGCAAAGGTTGGGTAGGGGAGAATACCTGGTACCAGCAAAGTACCAGTGCAAATGAGTATAGTTTGGTGGAATTAACTTGGCAATAATGGTCAATAATCTTTAAAATATCACTCAGCTTTGGACCCAACTACTTTATTTCTTAACCTTTAGTCATAGGACAATCAATGTAGTAGCTAAGAGAATAAAGGATATTGGGAAAAATATTTTTATTATTTTCTCGAACAACGTTTTGCTTTGTCACCCAGGCTGGAGTACAGGGGTGTGATCATGGTTCAGTGCAGCCTCAACCTCCTGGGCTCAAGTGATCCTCCCACTTCAGCCTCCCAAATAGCTGGGACTACAGGTGCATGCCCTTCTAATTTTTTTATTTATTTTGTAGAGATGGGGTCTCAATACGTTGCCCAGGCATAATTGTTGAACAATAGGATAATCGTGGAAAATCCATTCAAATGCTTGTGTGTAGAGAAAGTAAATCAAATAGGAATCTTCAGTAACACAGAGCAATGTTCATTCAATTTATTTTATTTTATTTTTATAGATCCTGGGGGTACAAGTGCAGTTTTGTTACATCAATATATTGTCTAGTGGCTTTTAGTGTGCCCATTGCCTAAATAGTGAATGTTGTACCCAATAGGTAGTTGTTCATTCAATTTAAATAGTTGAAAAATAAGTTTACAAAAAAAATAGTAATTAAGGGAAAAAAGGGAAGATGGTCTACAAGTGCTGTGTTGTTTGTCAGAGAATAATGAGGATATGTGGTGGGGTCTGTTGATTATATCTGATGTGAAATAAAACAGGGCACTATTGAACATTATAGAAGATTGAAGATGAAAATGAAAAGGATTTAACACATTAACTTTGCGTGGCAAGCTGTTTGGTTTTAATGATAAAATAATACGTGATTAGATTTGGAAGTTTGAAGTCCAATTTGTGGGAACAAATCCCAATGAGTAGCAAAGAAAAAATGTTATTAATATGGTTCTATTCTTGCAGTCTATTTTATGAACACATTTTTGTGTCTTAGATTTTCCTTTTATGTCTTAGATTTTATTGATTGCACTTGAGAGCCACCATGAAGCTTCCTCTGAGAACCTGGAGATAAAGTAAGATTTATTCCTCTGAAGATTATATTATGAAAATAACATGTAAAGGTTTGGAAAAGAGACCTGCAGAACTGTCTTAAAGACACTGGGGGACTACTGGGCCAATAGGACTGGTGAAAAACATGGATCAGGCAATCACAAGAGGAATTGATTGGGTAGAGAAACTCAGAAAGGAAAAAGCAGAGTCAAGACATAAAACACTGACAGCATCATCCCTGGACTTTACAGGCATGATCTCATTTTAAGTTATCCAATACTTTAAACATTACTGTCTGCTACAGAGTAAATGTTTGTGTAGCCCTAAAATTCACACGTTGAAGTCCTAATCCCCAGTGTGATAGTATTTGAAGGTGCAGCCTTTGGGAGGTAACTGGGGTTAGATTAGATCACAAGGATGAGGCCCTCATGATGGAATTCATGCCCTTATAAAAGACACAAGTGTTCTCTCTCTTTGCCATGTGAGAATACAGTGAGACAGTGGTCACCTACAAGCTATGAAGAGGGCCCTTGCTAAGAATCAAATCTTCTGACATCTTGATCTTCATCTTCCCAGCCACCAGAACTATAAGAAACAAATGTTTGCTGTTTAAGCCACCAACGGCTTTTGTTATAGCAGCCTGACCCAATTAAGGCATTTTTTGGTAAGGCTACCTTCAGTATTTTCTTCAAATATACTAAATTTAAGGCCTAAAGCTGAATTTGGCTCACGTATATCATTAACTTGACTTGTTTGGTTTTTGGTTTTTGTTGTTTTTTAAAATATTGTGTTAGTTTTCTAACACTGCTATAACAAATGACCACAAATCTAGTGGCTTAAAACAGTACAGAGTTATTATCTTCCATTTCTGGAGGAAGAAGTCTGAAATGTGTCTTATCTGGCTAAAATCAAAGTATGAGCAGGCTTTGTTCCTTCTGGAGATGCTAGGGGACAATCAGTTCCTTGTCTTCTCTAACTTCTAGGTCCTCCCGCATTCCTTATCTTGTGGCCCCCTCTTCTGTCTTTATTTTTTTATTTATTTTATTTTATTATTATTATACTTTAAGTTTTAGGGTACATGTGCACAATGTGTAGGTTAGTTACATATGTATACATGTGCCATGCTGGTGTGCTGCACCCATTAACTCGTCATTTAGCATTAGGTATATCTCCCAATGCTATCCCTCCCCCCTCCCCCCACCCCACAACAGTCCCCAGAGTGTGATGTTCCCCTTCCTGTGTCCATGTGTTCTCATTGTTCAATTCCCAACTATGAGTGAGAATATGCGGTGTTTGGTTTTTTAAGCCAGAAACGTTGCATTTTCAGATCGCACTCTCTGACTCTGACCCTTGTTTTTGTTACCATGTCCCCTTCCCTCACTGTGTTCCTCCTGCCTCCCTCTGCCCCTTGTAAGGACTTTTGGAATTACACTGGGCACACTTGGAGAATACAGGATAATCTTTCCATCTCAAGGTTCTTGATCATCTGCAAAGTCCCTTTTGGCATGCAAGGTAACAGGTTCCTGGGAATAGGTCAGGGGCATTTTGTGAGGCCATTATTCTATTATAATTATTAACATTAAAAAAATCTGAAGATAAACATTAAAAATGTAAAGTTCCAGAGTCTCTTTAAAAAATCAGAAGTTCTGTCAACACTTGGGTCTACACTCCCTGTGATGATGATCAGCTAGAATTGAATATCTGGTAGTTCCTTTTGTAAACACCTTGGTTGCACTTCAGTTGACCAAAGTTCATTTGGGATGACTTTGCTAACTCATATTACCTGCCTAGCCTCTAAAGCATTTGAATTTTTATTTTCTGTGTAAAAAGAATACCTAATTGTATTTTAAACAGAGTATAATAAATATTTTATTTTTCTAAGTAATTATTACCCTTTTTAAAACCTGACCTCTGATTATAACTTGGTTTCTTTGAGTCCCCACCCAAATCTTATCTCGAATTAGAATCCCCATAATCCCCACGTGTCAAGGGAGAAACCAGGTGGAGAGTAGTTGGATCATGTGGGCCATTTCCCCCATGCTGTTTTTGTGATAGTGAGTGAGTTCTCACAAGATCTGATGGTTTTGTAAGGGGCTCTTTCCCCTTTGCTCAGCTCTTCTCCTTCCTGCCACCTGGTGAAGAAGGTGGCTTGCTTCCCCTTTGCCTTCTGCCATGATTGTAAGTTTCCTGAGGCTTCCCCAGCCATGCTGAACTGTGAGTCAGTTAAACCTATTTCCTTTATAAATTACCCAGTCTCAGGCAGTTCTTTATAGCAGTATGAAAATGGACTAATACACTCTCAGGCAGTTCTTTATATAGCAGTATGAAAACAGACTAATATATTGTATTTTCTTAGGGATACATAACAAATATTCTAGTTCTGTTTAGAATCTTATTTCCTACTGGAAGTTTATCCTTTTGAATTTTGAATTAATGCTTCAGGTTCATGATCCATTTTCAATGTACAGGAAAGATCAGGTCTTTGAGGCTGCAAAATGGAGGTCTAGTTCCTGGTAAGTGATTAATTAACAAGATGGCGATGCTCAGTGGGATCTCTTTGGAGATGTCCTGCTGTCTGCCTCATTTGCATTTTAAAACATCAAGAGAGAAATAAACCAACATACTCATATTTATGACATATTTATCACATTTTTATTGGAGCAATGCAAAATTCTCAAACAGAAGAGGAGAAACATAGCTGAAGCTATTTCAGAAAATTAGAATAAATTTTGTTTTATACATATTTATTTTGATGTTGAATGCAAACTATAATAGCTCGCAAATATATTATATTCCCAAGACCCATGGACAATTTCAATTATGATGGAAATATTTTGTTCTGTGAAAATACTGATTAAGATTAGCTCTATTTTCCCATCCGATAAAAGCTATAAAATGGTTCTAAAATATAAATGGTGATTTTTAAGTTTATTGAACACAAAACTGAGCCTTGAGATAGTGTCAAGGAAATCCAAAGTTCATCAAATGTAGAGTTATAATTACTTCGCCACATTTAATTGTTGTTTTTTGAGTTTCATAAATTTCTATGAACAAATGGAAAATTTGTGCCAAATAAAAATTTATATTTGCATTTATTATTAAAAGTACACACTTACAGTCTGTCATTGCAAATTTGTTTGGTCTATAGTGGTTGGATATATTGCCAAAATCACTATAATATCAGCAATTATGCATATTTTAGCTTTTACCACAGTAATGTTCTACTTATATATCATCAAACTCATTAACTTCTCTGAGGTGCATTTCTTAATTACCCTAGACCAATGTCATTCCTCAGTCCTATGAATTCCTTTGCCACTTATTATGTGTATCATTTCATGTATAATTTAAGAAAATCTTTTTTTACCAGCAATATTGACTACTATATTCATTTGCTTGAGCCCAGCTGTCTTTTTTTTTGCTGTTATTGTCTTACAAAATTATCATTTCTAAGACCTTATTCTTATCCTCTTTTGTAAACTCTGTGAAATAAGAGATAAAATTGAAAGAACAATAAAAGAATAAAATGGGAAGGGTGGCATAACTTCTAAAAAAATACTAACAAATAAAGCATATATGGTGGAGGAAATAGTGTTCCTGAAGTAAAAAAACAATTGCAACTGGAATAGGAAATTATTAAGGTATACATTTAAAAAAATCTTTCTTGAACTGAGGTAAACAGTAAACCTCTAGATCAAAAGAGTAAACCAGATTCCAGATAAAAATAGTAATACTCAATTGTGAGCCAGATCCTGGCATTATCGGGCTTCAAGAAAAAAGAAAGACCTTACAACAGACAGAGAATCCTTTCTAATCTAAATGTAAAAGGTAATGAAGTATGGCATTTAGAAGAATAGGAGAATAAAATCTTTGTGATTCTGGAGTAATACATACTGTTTAAACAAGATACACAAATTGCTAACTATAAAGAAAAACATTGATAAATTAAACTACATTAAAGTTAAGAACTTATTATCATAAGTTATCATTAAAAGAGTGAGTGGGAGTTTATTTGTCATGTATTTGACACACATATGAATACTTATATATATAAAGGTCTTACATATCCATAATACTTAAAGAATGCTTGCACATCAGTAAGAAAATGTCAGATAGCCCAGTGGAAACATTGGCAAATGACTTGAATAGACACTTCACAATAGGGGATATCTTGGTAGCCCATAGACCTATAAAAAGGATCTCAACTTTATTTGGTCATCAAGTAAATTGCAAATTAAAACCAAAATGTGATGCCACTCTACACCCACCAGACTGGCTAAAATGACAATGTCAAGTGTTGGAGAGGATGTTTAGCAACTAGAACTCTCATCAATTATTGATAGGAGTTGTAAATCAATATAACCACTTTGGAAAACTATTTGTCAATATTTAGTAGTGATGAACATATTCATACCATATTGCCCAATTATTCTACTCTGCGATATATATTTCACATATATTGTCCAACAGGCATGTGCAAGAATATTCATAGCAACATTGTTTGTAATGGCCCTGTGTCAGATATTGCCAAGACAACTCAGTTTTGATGATTTATAGGACTCACAGGACTCAGCACAACTAGAGTCATGCTCATGGTTATGATTCATTACAGTGAAAGGATACAAAGTAAAATCAGGGCAAGGAAAAGACTCATGGGGCAAAATCCAGAGGAAACATGGTGCAAGTTCCCAGAGTCTTCTCCCAATTAATCGCACAGGACACACTTAATCCCTTGAACAGCAAGTTGTGACAACACATGTGAAATGCTGTCTACCAGAGAAACCCATTAGAGACTTGGTGTTCAGGTGTTTTTTTTTTTTTATTGGGGGATGGACAAATATGCAGCCTCTGCCTGGAACGTAGCAGAATTCCAGACTCCCAGAAGGAAAGCAGGTGTTCAGCATAAACCACATTGTTTCTACAAACCATTTGGGCACAATGAGACACTATTACTAGTTACTTACTCCAAAATCCAAGTTCTTACATGCTAGTCAAGGGCCAACAGTAGGTGCAGCCTTGTCTAGGGATAGCAGTATGGCCTGCTATGTTAACTCTTTTCTGCATGAGCTCCAAACTGGAATTAATTAGGAGCTAAAAAGTCTAAGAGCAGTCGAATGGAACAGTGAATAAATAAATTATGGTATGTTCATACAATGGATTACTTTACAAAAAATGGGAATTATATTCCAAAAAACATATGCAACAATATGGCTGAGATATAATGCTGACTAAAAGAAGCAAGATGTAAAAGGACACATATTGCATCTTTATGTTTGTGGGAAGTTCAAAACTAGGTGAAATTAAACATCATAATGTTTGAAGTCACCTAGGGAGACTAAGAATCTGAGTGTTGATTACATGTTCACTTTGTGACTATCCTTTGGGTGAAACATGATTTTTGCTCTCTTCAATATTATGTTCTATAGCAATAAAAAGTTTACTAATAAACATTTCTTAACATGAAAAAATAATGAAGACTCTTGCATATATTTATTTAGGCAGAAGGAACAGATGATTTAGTAAGAAAGTAAGAGAGATTTTTCTGATAGTTCTCCTCTATGCCATTAAAACAATTAAAAATATGTACTATTTAGAGAATGTGTGTGCCAGAAACTCTACTGAGTCATAGTATGTAGCCCTGCCCTCTCCAGTATAGCAGACACTGGACTCATGTGGCTACTGAGGACATAAAATGTGGCAGTCCAAATTGATATATGTGACATGCAAATGCTATAACTGAATGGTATAGCTATATGGTATAAGTATAAAATATACACTATATTTAGAATTCTCAGTATAATAAAGAATGTAATATCTCAATAATGTTTTACATGTTGAAATGATGTATATTATTGAACCTATTGGGTTAAGTATAATTATTATTTTTATTTAAATTATAAATATCCAAATTAGTTTTACCTTTTTAATGTGACTGCTAGAAAAATTAAAACTATAAATGTGGTTTACACTATATTTTTATTAGCACTAATATAGATCATGCCATTAATTCCTTACCTTAAACCTGGGAAGTAAGGAATAGTCTCATTTTACAGATAAGAACAATGAGATTTAGGAAACTAAGTAAAAGTATGCATTATGTAATTTGCAAAGGTCTAGCAAGTAATTAGCGGAGCTAAAATTAGATGTTTACATGATTCTAGGTCCTGTGCTCTTCACCTCCTGCTGTACTCTCAGAAGACCAGGAGGCATCCTCTACTGAATTTTCAGAGAAGAATGGTTTAATCCAAGTATTCTTTATGTAACCAGGCTGTCAACTCTATGTAAAGTCAACAAGAAAATATTTTTATGTATCCAACGACTCAGGAAAATATACTACTTATGTAACTACATTACCAAAATCTTCATTTAAATATGCGATTCAGCCAATATATGGAAAAACTAAAATAAAGTATTCTTGAATGGGAAATTCATGGTGTGAAAAAGCTGATGGTGGGCTTTGAGTTTATGTAAACATAGAAATGAATCTAATAAAAGGGAAATATAATTCCTTAAAATTCTTGAATAAAATAATACCATAATAATGATTTCAAAATTACAGAGTATAAAAACAAAAACTAGGGTGTGTGTAGTGGAATGGGACTAGGCTGAGGATGTATAGTTTGCAATTTACTTAGGAGGAAGTTAATAGATGTTATTTCATTCTTGAACTTGATAAACTGACAAGTATATGCTTAATCAATGTTATAAAAGATACAAAGGTAAACACTAGTGGAACTAAAAACAGAACACACGATTTATAATATGCTGAAAGTAGATATCACAGGTAATATAGACCATCAAATAGAAGAGAGAAAACAAAGAAAATAGATAAGAAGCAAAAATAAAACAATCATTAAAATAAGATGACTGAAAGAGCAAATGCATATGCTCCTTGACTTACAATGGGGGTATGTGGTGATAAACCCATTGCCACTGGAAAATATTGTAAGTCAAAAATTGACATTTTGTAGCCCTGATGGCATGAGAAACACAATATCCAAAAAATTCTGGTAACACAGCACACTGTATTGGTTGTTTACCTTCGTGATTGCATGGCTGACTGGGAGCTGTGACTCGCTTTAAAATTTGAGGTACAGTTTCTACTGATGGCATATCACTTTTGCATCATCATAAAGTTGAGAAATCTTAATTTGAACAATTGTGAGTCAGGACCATCTGTACACTTCTTCCAACAATAAAACAATGGAATAAACTCCATTAAAGAAAATATTGAGTTGAAAGAAAAATATTGTTTAACTTTTTTTTTTCAAATACCAAGGTAAAGCTGTAGTAACAAAGTTGTATTTAACGATCCTATAGTATCTAATTACATTTGCTTTTCTGGTGACTACTTTTTAGAGTTCTTTGGGTCTCAATTCTAGTTGACTATTTACAGCATTTACATTTATTGACAAGCAGCTACAGGAAGTAGAAATGTTAATGTCTTATTTTTAATTGTCATTGTTTACCTCAACTTGTGGCTACATGTAGCTTTGATTTAGGAAACAATAATAACTTTATTCTTTAATGGAAGCATTTAAAACCCTGTTTATCTTTCCTGGATCTCAGCCTTCAATTACCTAGAAACAAAATGAAAGCAGTGAGAGAAAAGACACAGATGCCAACAGGAAAACAATGATTTGTACCCTCTGTATAATGACCATATGTATTGATGGTGCTGAGACTATTATTACTACATGCTTGCTTTTGATGGAAGTTTTCTTGCTCTATTTTGATAAAACTCTGAAATAGAAAACTAAGTATACTAGAAATCCAGCTGCTTATTCTCTTAAATTTTATTCATGTATCAGTGATTCTGGGCCTTAGCAGCTTTGAAGGCTAAACTAGGTTTCAATATTAGTCACTCAGCAGAAAGCATTTTTCTCAGGGGTGATTCCACCCACCCTTTAATTTCTCATAAGCATAAGAAATTTATTTCTCATAGTTCTCAAGGCTGGGAAGTTTAAGATCAAGGAACTTGAAGATGTGCCATCTGGTGAGGCTCTGCTTCCTGGTTCATAGCTGGCCATCTTCTTCTGTGTCTTTACATGGGAGAAAGGGCAAGGGAAGTCTCTGGCTTCTCTTTTGTAGGGGGACTAATCCCATTCACAAGGCTTCCTCCTCATCACCCAGTCACTTCCCAAAGGAAACACCTCCAAATATAATTGCATTCAAAATTAGATTGCACTGTGAATTTGCGGGGGACATAAACATTCAGTCTATAGCAGCAATGAATAATATATTGTTCTGGAGAAACATATTCCAGAAAAACCTTTTCCCTGAAACTCACTCCTCTGTAATCTGCCTCAACCAGCTCATTGCCTGGCCTATTGTAGGAACTCAGTATATTATTTTATTTTACAAAAATTGACTTTTATATCATACAGTGTTTTATAACCTATCTTTCTCACTTATAAAATAATTATGTCATGAATAGCTTCCTGTGTGTTGTGATTATAGATGTTATTACCCGATGTGAGGTATGGAAGAAATGGCCTATTACGTTATTTTCACAATTAAAGAAAAAAAATATGAGTCTGAGTCCCTTACCCACCTGGGAAATTAGAACCTCATAATTTTAAATGCAGGTGCTTATCTATGTCTCTAGTTTGCACAAAAATTCAGAAGGTTTACGAAGTGCCCAGAAAATGGAAGGAGAGTGTCTGAGTCACCATGGTCACTGAGGACTTTCCACTTATTCAAACCCTTGGAGTTACTTAAAGGCAAGTGGCTCTTCTGTTTCTATGCTCAGGCCCAGAAGGGTCTCCTCTTCCACCAAGGAACCATTCTAAAAGTCCTGCCACTTTCCTGCCATGCCCAAATGGAGCAGGACAGAGACCTTTCTTCCTTTCTAGTCGTGTGGAATGTTTACTCTCTTGCTGTGTCACCCTCTGAATTCCTCCAACAAACTCCTCTCCACCTCAGCTTTCCCAGGAAGATCTGAGAAAGGCCTCCACTTCCTTCTCCTGAGACAGCAAAATCTCCTCAATGAAGAAAGACTGTCTTGTTGGAACAGAGAATGGAAAAATAGAACATAACACAAATGTATCTTTTTCTCTTTTTATTCTTCTTTAGTTATAAGAAACATACACACAAATGCTCTAATAGCTTCTACACATTCATTAAATATTTTATCTGTATCATCTCTGTCTATATATATCTACATATGTCCTTTTTTCTTAAGTTACCAGATGATCATAAGTTATCAGACAAAAAAGATACTCAAGCTGGGGGGTCAGGCTTGTTCTGTATGAACATAATATGTATCTACATGAATCAGTATGTAGTTGCCTTAAACGCAATGTTGTGGATTTTTTTCCCCAGTGTAAAACATTTTTAGAGAAAGGATCAAAGGCACCGGGTGTGAATGAGAGTCCCAGATTTTCCTGAGGCCACCTTTCAGAAGGGGCTTACCTTTCTCTTTCTTTATTCTCTTATTTTCCTACTATCCCTGGTAAAGTTAAAGTTCTTTTCTTCATGTATTTATTTTTTATTGTGGCAAAAAAAATATAACTTGAGATCTGCCCTCTTAAAATTTTAAGTGTGTTGTTTACTGTAAGCACATTGTTATACAATAGCTTTCTAAGAAGTTTTTCATCTTGCATGACTGAAACTTTATATGACTGAAAAGAAACTCCTCATTTTCCCATCCTCCTAGCTCCTGGCAACCACCATTGTACTTTCTGCTAAGATGAGTTTGACTATTTCAGATGCCTCATATAAGTAGAATCATGCAGTATTTTTCCTCTCTGACTGGCTTATTTCACTCAGCATAATGTCTCCAAGATTCATCCATGTTGTAGCATATGCCAGGATTTTCTTTTTTAAGTGGCTGAATAATATTCCATTGTATGTATACACCTACATTTTTTGATCCATTCATTAGGTTATTTTCACCTTTTGCTTATTGTGAAAAATGCTGCAATGAATATGGGAATACAAATATCTCTTCAGTATCCTGATTTCATTGTTTTGGATAAATATCCAGAAGTGAACTGACTGGATCATATGGTAGCTCTATTTCTAATTTTTAAGGAATCTTTATACTGGTTTTCATCCTGGCTGCACTATTTTACATTTCTACCAACAGTGCGTAAGTGTTCCAATTTGTCTACATCTTTGCTAACACTAGTTATTTTCTGTTATTTTTAAAAAACATAATGGTCATCTTAGCATCTTATGAGGTGGTATTTCATTTTTGCTTTGATTTGCATTTATCTGATAATTAGTGAGGAGTATTTTTTCATGTACCTGTTAGCTGTTTTGAAATTTTCTTAGAATATATATCTATTTAAGTCATTTGTCCATTTAAAATTGGGTCATTTATTTTCTTGCTGTTGAGCTATAGGAATCCTTTATATGTAATCCTTTATATATTTTGGGTATGAATACTTGATCAGATATATAATTTGCAAATATTGTCTTCCATTCTGTGGGCTGCCTTTTGACTCTCTTGTTTCCTTTGCTGGGCAGAAGTTTTTTAGTTTGATGTATTCCCATTTTTAATTTTTGCTTTCGTTGCCTGTGTTTTTAGGGTCATATCCATCAAATCATGGCAAAAACCAATGTCATGAAACCTTTTATCTATGTTTTTGTCTAGGAATTTTATAGTTTCAGGTATTGTGTTTAATCAATTTTTCATTGATTTTTGGGTATGGTATTAGATAAAGGTCCAATTTCATTCTTTTGCATGAAAATATCCAGTTTTTTCAACATAACTTGTTAAACACACTATCTTTATCCCCTTATGTATTCTTGGCACCCTTCTCAAAGATCACTTGACCATAAATGTCTAATGTTATTTTGGGGTTGTCTATTTTAGTCCATTGGCCTATATGTCTGTGTTTATGGCAGTACCATACTCTATTGATTATTGTAGCTTTGTAATACAGCCGATTTGTTTTAAAATCAGGAAGTATAATATCTTCAGCTTTGTTCTTTCCCAAAGTTATTTTGGCCAGTTGGGGTCTTTGTGGCTTTATGTGTATTTTAGAATTTTTTTCTATTTCTGTAAAAATTGTCATTAAGATTTTGATAGAGATTGTATTAAATCTGTAGATGGCTTTCAGTTGTATGGACATTTTAATAATCTTAACTCTTTCAATGCATGAACATAGAATATGTTTTCATTCATTTTTATCCTTTATAATTTCTTCTTTAATGTCTTATAGTTTTTAGTGTACAAGTCTTTTGGTCCCTCAGTTAAATTTTTTCCTAAGGATTTTATTGTTTTTGGTCCTTTTGTAAATGGGATTGTTTTCCTAATTTCCTTTTCAGATTGTCCACTGTTAGTGCATAGAAACACAATTAGTTTTGTATGTTGATTTTTGTATCCTGGAACTTTACTGAATTTGTCTATTAGATCTAATAGGTTTTTTTTTTGTGTGTGTGTATGTATGTGTGTGTGCAATCTTCAGGATTTTCTACATACAAGATCATGCATCCATGAACAGGGATAATTTTCCTTCTTCCTTTCCAATTTGGATGCCTTTTATTTCTTTTTCTTGCTTAATTTCTCTGGGTAGGACTTCTAGTACTGTGTTGAATAAAAGTGGCAGGAGTGGGTATCTGTGCTTTTTTTCCTGATTTTGGAGGAAAAACTATCAGTTTTTCATTGTTGAGTATGATGTTCACTGTGGACTTGTTGTATATAACCTTGTTATGTTATGATGATTTCCTTTTGTTCCTAGTTCGTGGAGTCTTTATCCTGAAAGGATATTGACTTTTGCCAAATACTTTTTGTACATGTCTTTCTATCATCCTGTGATTTCTATCCTTTATTCTGTTAATGTGGTGAATCACATTGATTGATATTTATATGATGAGCCATCCTTGCATCCCAGGGATAAATCTCGCTTGGTCATAGTGTGATCCTTTTAATACACTGTTGAATTTAGTTTGCTCATATATTTTTGAGGATTTTTGCATCTAAATCATCAGGGATATTAACTTACAGTTTTATTTTCTTGTGATGTCTTTCTCTAGGTTTGGTATCGGAATAATGCTGGCTTCATAAAACGGGTTTCAAAGTGTTCCTTTCTCTTCCATTTTTTGGAAGAGTTTGCAAAGAATTGCCACTAATTATTTAAATGTTTGGTAGGTTTTATCATTGAAGCCATTCTGGTGCTGGGTTTTTCTTTTTGGAGAGGTTTTTGATTACTGATTCAATCTCTTTACTGGTTTTTAGGTCTGTTTGGTTTTTCTGTTTCTTTATGATCCAGTTCTGATAGGCTATATGTTTCTAGGAATTTATCCATTTTTTCTAGGCTATCCAATTTGGATAATCTATAATTGGCTTATAATTGTTCATGGTAGTCTCTCATAATTCTTTTTGTCTGTGGCATCAATTGTAATGTCTCCTCTTTGATGTCCATTTTAGTTTTTTTGTCTTCACTCTTTTTTTCTTCAGTCAAGTGTAACGTGTGTTGGTTTTGTTGATTTTTTCAAAAGGCCAATTAATTTTGTTGATTTTTCTATGGTTTTTCTATTCTCAATTTCATTTATTTCCTCTCTAAGTTTTATTATTTATTTCTTTCCCTCTGCTAACTTTATGTTTAGCTTTTTTTTCTATTTCTACTTCCTAAGGTATAGAATTAGGTTGCTTTAGATCCTTCTTTTTTAACGTAGGCATTTATTGCTTTAAACTTCCTTCAGAATTGCTTTTGCTGCATCCCATAACTTTTAATATGTTGTGTTTTCATTTTTATATGTCTCAAAATGTTTTCTAATTTCACTTTTCATGTTCTTATTTTGCCCATTGGTTGTTCAAGAATGTGTTGTTTAGTGAATTTTTGTTTTCTTTCTGCAGTTGATTTCCAGTTGCATTCTATTGTGATCAGAAGAGATACCTATATGATTTCAATCTTATAAATTAGTTAAGTTTTGTTTTGTGACCTAGTATGTGATCTATACTGGAGAGAAGAATGCATATTCTGTGTCTGTTGCTTGAAATGTCCTGTATACGTCTCTTAGGTCTATAGTGTTCTTCAAGTCCTCTGTTTCTTTATTAATCTTCTGTCTGGATATTCCATCCATTATTAAAAGTGGTTTTTGAAGTTTCCTACTTTATATTGTTGGTGTCTATTTCTTCCTTCACTTCTGTCAATATTTGCTTTATGTATTTAGGTGCTCTATATTGGTTGCATATATATTTATAATTATATCTTCCTGGTAAATTGAACCTTTTATCATTATGTAATATTCTTTGCTTCTTGTTACAGTTTTTGACATAATGTCTATTTTGTCTGTATAAGTATGGCTACTTCTGTTTTGTTTTGATTACCGATTACGTCAAATATCTTTTTCCATTCTTTTGTTATTTGTGCCTTACATTTAAAGTGAGTCTCTTATAGATGGCACATAGTCGGATCTTCTTTTTAGTTTAATCTATTCAGCCACTTTGTATTTTGATTGGTGAATTTCATCCGTTTACATTTAAAGTAATTACTGATAGAGGAGAACTTATTGCTGTTTTGTTAATTTGTTCATACACTATTTTCATGAGCTTACTGAGCATCTTTATTTATGATGTTTATTTTTGAATTATATTTTAGGTAATTCATAACCTGTATCTTTAGGGTCAATTTCTGGAGATTTATTTTGTTCCTTTGATTGGGCCATTTTTCCCCCCATTTGTGTTGGTGTCTGGATATTTGAAAATACAAACCACCTCTCTCACTCTTTGTAAACTAGCTTTATAATAGAGAAAAACTTTCACCAATTGGCCCAAGTAGAGATTCTGAAGGCCTCTCAAAGTTTTTCTGTGGATGTGTCTTTTCTGGGCTTTGCATGTGTAGATTTCTGTTTAGAAGAATTTGCTAGTTTCCTTTTTTCAGAAGTTCATAATCTTTTGCTTTCTCTGATGTCTGCCATCCTATGGTGGGCCCTCTGACCTGCTGTCAGACCATCCTATCTGAGCAGCAACATGCCGCTCAAATCTTTTATATTCTTGTTGGCTCCTGGCATCTAGAGTATGCTAGGTCCCATCTGCATTACCAGAAATTCAAGAAAGAAACCAGCCCCTTGGGCAGCCCCTCAAAAAGCTGGACTGTTGGACATGTGTTCCACTTTTCTCTTTCCTCCTTGAGGGGGAGGCCTCTGTCTGCGATACTGTGGTTCCTCTGGAGTAGCAGCATACACCCAGTTCTTTTTCTGTTCTCAGTGGCCCCCAAGCATCTAGAGTATGTCTGATGTTATCAGTGCTCCAAGACAGGCAAGACAAAAACCTCCCTGAGAAGTCAGAACATTGGATGTATGGGCTAGTCTTCTCTTTCTCTCACCAGGGAGAATCGAATCCAAAACTGGTAGTTTCCCTCCAATCACATGGTGCTCTGTCAGGCAGAAGGACTATGGTGAGAGGGTGACAAAAATTCTTCTACTTGCTTCAATGTGGCTGGCTTTGTGTTCTCCTGGGATGCAGGTGCCTCTTAACTGGTTTTGGGATTTCTCATAAACAGAATTAGCCCATATATTGTTATTGATTTGATGTTTTGTGAGATGAAGGAGGTGCTTTTTATTACTACATCTTGCTGATGCCACTCCTCAATCATTCCTCTATTTACTATTAGGTTTTGCTATTTACATATGCTTTTGTTTGCTGAGTTTTGGGGAATGTCATTGCTAACAAATCATGCTCTATCATTTTTATCTGTAGTAGAGAAAATAGCTAGGAGATGTAGACATAATGACAGATACTATTTATTAAGCACTTTTATTGCATCCGGACATAACTGAAGTGTTTATGTGATGATATTTAATATTCATAAAAGCATTGTAGGCATATTGCCTTTGTTTTCCAATTTTGTAAAGGTGAAAACTAGTGCACAGAAATAATAATATGTAACTTTCTCAAAGTCATGCAGCTTAATAATAGAAGAACTGGGAATTAAACACAGGCAGTTCAACTTCAGAGTCTGTACCCAGGAGTCAGAGAAAGCACATATTGGTTCTGTACTCATGTAATTTAAATCACTGGTTGTTCTACAAGTGAAAAAGTATAAGAAACAAAACAAAACAAATCAGTATGGCAACCACACAAATAAGAAAATCAGAAAACCCTCCAAATTCTGTGTTCAACTTAGAACATATATATGAAATGGTGTTTTTTGTTTGCTTATTTTTTTTTGCTTTGGTTTTAAACAGTTTAATGTTCTTATTTTTCATAGCTGGAAAATATCTCTTTTTGCTGAAAAACTATTTTTCTCCAAAATACTGATTATATTCTCTGTGTTATAAATGGGAAAATGAAACAGGCCCTCACCAGATTTTTCATTTAGCAAAACTGTACAAAGAGAAGAAATCTGTTGTTTGGCCAAATTTGAATACAGATTTCCCTGAGAGTCTGACTGTGAAAAATAAGCTGTGGTAAGAGTTTTTTAGGTTAAGATAATACTAAACACTATATTGAAGATGGGAGAGGTGATTGCCATTTTTCAACTAGTCCATCTGGGTCAGTTTGATATGAATATTTTTCTTTATTTTTACCTCATTAGGAACTAACTCCTGTTGTATCAAAGGTCTTGAGAACTCTGGCCACCTGCCACTCATCTGTGCTATACCCAATAGCAGCCTTATTAGGCTTTTGGATCCTAGAGTTGCTGCTATCTCTCGTACCACAAAACCACCTGCTTCTGATTCTCTAGGAAGACTGCTGAGAGTCAACATCGAGCCACTGGTGGTATGTACAGTATAAAGAGTTTTGATTAAGCTTGGTTAATTGTCCCTCAGTATAGTTTTAGTATATATACCCCATAATATCTCTGTGTTAACTCCTTGCCAGTTTTATAATTGTAAAATGTCTCATTGTTTTGATATGCATTGCAGTTGATTTATTTTTTATTAACTTGTATTCTTTCGTGACATGCCTGCTGTGTCTCTTGTCTGTCTTTCTGTTAAAAGATTTTAATTGGTTTTTAAGAATTCTTAGCAAATCAAGTATATTGACTCTGCCTTTCATATAAGTTGCAAGTATTTCCTCCAGTTTTTTTTTATATGTTCTTACTTTCACTTAATGGTTTTTGGATGCATAGAAAGTTTTGACTTTTCAAGTTGAAAAACTTATGTCATGCTTAGAATTGCTATTCATGCTTCAAAATTGTATTTTCTAGTTTTTATTTTTTAATATTAATTTTTTTTTGAGACAGAGTCTCACTCTGTCACCCAGACTGGAGTGCAGTGGCATGTTCTCAGCTCACTTCAACCTCCGCCTTTTGTGTTTAAGTGATTCTCCTGCCTCAGCCTCCCGAGTAGCTGTGACTATAGGCGTGTGCCACCATGCCCAGCTAATTTTTGTATTTTTAGTAGAGACAGGGTTTTGCCATGTTGGTCAGGCTGGTCTGGAATTCCTGACCTCCAGAAATCCGCCCGCCTCAGCCTCCCAAGGTACTGGGATTACAGGCGTGAGTCACCGTGCCCAGCCATATTTTCTAGTTTTAAAAAATAGTTTCCTCTTTCATATTTTATTATATCCTGTTCTATATTTTACCTCTCTCTAAATTGGAATGGTAAGTTATTTCTGGAAAATTACCTGGGGTAAGACAGGGAACTAACTTTATTTTTTACATGATTAGTCAGGGACTTCAGTGTCATTTATTTTTTTGGTTGTGTTTAATTTTTGACATACATTTTGCTCATTGGAGAAGAAACTTTTTTTTTTAGATTTTATCCCCAGTTTACCTCTTCACAACAGGAAACAGGCAGTTATTTTTATGAAAGCATCCTTTCATCTTTTTCTTCTTCTCTCTCAGCTTCCTTTGGCACCACCCCTCCTTCCCTGTTGTTATCTCTCATTTTCATATTTAATATATTTTACGTAATTTTTCTTAGAGGTATCACAATGTGACAGAATTTTCTTAACTGAACTTTTTATTGAAGTATAGTGTACATACAGAAAAGTACGTGTATAATTTGTGTACAACCCACACAATACATTTGCTTAGAGTGAACAGACCCTTATAGCTAGGGCACAGGTAAGTAAACAGAATCTTATGAGCAACTTAGAATACTCCCCTAGTATCCAGCTCCAATCAGTACCATCTATCCCTTCCCCTCAAGTTAACCATTATTATGAATTGTAGCACCAAAGTTTACTTCATATAAATAGAAATATACAGGATGGAATAACAATGTAGCTCCTTTTGCTCATCATGTTTGAAAGATTTTTGCATAATTGTGTGTAATTATAGATCATTCATTTTTATTGCTGTATGACTATAACCACAAATTTATTTATCCACGATGTTGTTGATACACACGTGGGCGGTTGCTGGCTTTTGGCTATTAAGAATGGTTCTGCTATAAATATTCTTGTGCATGTCTTTTCATGAACACACATATTCCTCTACAAGTTCATTGGCTTTTTCTAGACTTCTTGGTTTATTTCTGAGCTTCCAACTGCCTAGCTTGGTCTAGTGTTCACAGAGACTCAGTGAATGAGGAGAATGATTTGAATTTGGAAAAAAAGGAAGTGGATATGGATTAGGCAGGTGTAGGCCAGGCTAGCTATTTGCATAGAATTCTGTTCAGTGTATGGCTTTGTTGCATTAACTCTTATAAGTGAGATAGTCTGGAGGAGGAAAAAAATGTTAAATTTGGATGAAAAGCTGGCTTTTCCATAATGGCTTCATTCAGTAATTATTTTGGTGGAGATTTTTTGTGTAAGTCATTTGAAGAAATTTATTGCCTAATGAACATAAGATAAGATATTTTGTTATAAAACTAATTTATATGGGAGCACATTTTTAGCTGGACTGACTTAGACAAAACCCAGATATTTAACCTTTTTAATTGAAATTTAGTATTTATTTATTTATAGCCTTGAATGTTATCCATGAATTATTCTAATATACTCCTGGGAACACTCACACTGGGTGAATGAGAATTTCTCACCGTAAGAGACTAGATTAGCCTCATATGAAGTAGCTTTCAGGACCAATGCTGGCTTACTCTAGTCTTGAGATCTATTTTTCATTGCTTGGTGATATACTGTATTCAGCCTGTAACAGAGTTATACTGTTGGGATTCTGGGAGGCTTTCTACTGGGCATTAGTGATTTCCTTTCCTAAACTACAAACACAACTGCCCCTTCTGAGGAGGAAAGCAGGCAGGTTTGCCTTGGCCAAAGTCCAATGGCCGGGAGTCAAGCCCTTAAGTGCTTTCTCAAGTGCCCAGCCTAGTTTCTCTGAAGATCAGTCTGCTTGGTAGCCTAAGAAGGAAATTACCCGGTCATTTCTGTTCTGGCATTTGCTAGTACACAGCTGTTTCTTTCAATTCTGTAGAACAAACCTGAACTGGCACCTTTCCTGGATAGGAGGATATCACTGGCAGGAGATAGAAAATACTTTTCATTGACGTACAAGGGTTGGAGAATATATTATGAAAATCATACTTGATAACATATTTATTCATTAAATATTTCTTATCTTTGCTACATAGTATTGTTTCTAAAATGATTTCTAACACCAACAAGAGCTTGAAATACATATATATGTGCTCTAATACTTCTTAATATGTGGACCACACCCTCAATCCTACTGAATCTGAATCTCTAAGGAAGGGGCCTAAGAATTTCCACTTTTATCAGTCATCTCAGATAATTCTGATGTACACTAACATTTGTGGACATCTGGCTTAAACTCAAAAGCACATTTAGACTAATTTACCCTACTAATTAGCATCTGTTTGAGAATAAGAGAAAAGTTAAACAGCAACAAAATGATAGTGACTTATCTGAATCAACTAAAATAATGTTATGCATTTTTAAGTGTTTAATTCTAGTAATGCCCTATAATTTTTTTTTTTGAGGCCTCAGGCCTGTGACTCAGAATGGACTCAGGGTGTGGTACAACTGTCTTATGTACACATTCATATTTCAGAAGACAAATATCCTTAGATTTAAATCTTGAATAGATCCACATTATAGAAAACTCCATTCTGTAGAAATGCAGTTATAGTGGGGTTCCAGCATTATTAGTTTGTCAAATTTTAGTCTAACTTTTATAACATTGCCATTGACTACCCTTGCTGCCTGTGAGGGGTAGATAACAGAAGTATATGAAAAATATGAATGAATTTTTCTTAGGGACATGATCTATTAGAATAAGAAATCTTTCTTTGCAAGGGTCAAGAACTACTCCTGTCTAAGTTCCATGTGCCTTCTTCAATCCTTTATCTAAATGTAAGCTTACCTCAGTCACATTTCTTATCTTATAATAAAGAGGTTGTAATGTCTGAATATAGACTTCACATCAAATATGTGCTTTCAGTGTTAATGTTAACATCATGGTTATTATTATTATTATTATTTTAGCCTTTCATTCTAACATCCCACCCCTCTTCCCCAAGGATTTATGTTCCTATGTATCAGTGAATGATAAGACCTTAATCATATCCTGAGCAGCAAGGTAGAAACCAAGCTTTATTACCAGCACAGGATACAATTATCTAGGTCTTTATCCATTTCCAAAAAGAATTAGAATAACTTTCCTATACCTTCCTCAGCTATTTAAGATAACCATTAGACTGCAACAAAAGCATGATTCTGAGTAGATGTAATCATCCATGAACAAAAGCTGAACTTCAAACTGGTTTATGCCGTAATTATTTTTTCTAACTCAGAGTGTTTAAGAGTATGAATATTGCCTTATCATTTTGATTTCGATTTCTGTTGAGATCCAGTATAACAGCTCTCCACCTCTGTGAATCGTGAAAATGTGAATTTACAGATAGTATTTTTAGTTGCAATTCTAGAAAGATTTTTAATAGCCTTCTATGGATTTACTTATTCATTCATTCATTAACTGATATTTGAACACCTATTATGGGCCAGCCACTCCTTTTTGCCCTGGAGATATGACAGTGAACAAAACTGATAAAAAACCCTGAGCTCAGAGAGCTTATATTTTAGAGGGAAGAGATAAGCACTGAAACTAAAAAATGAGAATAAGTTAGAAGGTAATTAGTGCTATAAAAAATGATCAGGGTACGAGTGATGGGGAGGCCTGGGTGATGGGCCTCATGCTCATGATCTTGCCACAGACCACAGTACATCAGAAATGATACTGAGATGCTAAAATATTGTTTTGGGCTTTTAATTTTAAGTATTGTAACTGCTGGTGATTTATTTTCTCATTTATAACCAAGATGACAGATGTTGATTTTTTCCAGATTCCTCTAAATTCAAGATCTTTCTAAAATACATATTTACCTGAAATAGTTTATTTGGAATGTATATCTAAGTGATATTTGATTTAAAAAAATCAGAGACTAAAAATTTTCTTTTTATATTGGCTAATGTGGAAGTGATTGGCATGTTCAAACCATGGAAGAACATTTGCACTTATCCTTTTTTTTTTTTGTTAATACACCGAGCTTATTAGAGCTGTAACTGTAAAATACAATTAAAATAATTCTGAAGAAACAGTTTTCTACTAATTTGAATTCTCTAAAGAATTTTCTCACTAAGACATTGACTTTGGAAAATGACAGACTTTCTGGTAAACTTTACACACATAATGAAGAAGGGGAAAATTGGGCAATGAAAATTATTTTTAGTTTTCTGATAAGATGTTAACACACATAGAGAAAATGGGTGTTATGACTGTGTTGGACACAGCAATATACTACCTGGATCTCCCTTTAAGAAAAGTCTTGTTGTCCAGGTGTCAGCCCCTTCAGGGTGGGCCTCAGCTGCAGAGTGTCTCTTCACCTGAGGTCATGTCCTTCTTGTGGCAGCTGCAGCTAGTGACAGCCAGGTGGGCATAAAGGCCTGCATTTCGACCCATCATGAGACATTATAATAGGCCATTTGTGCTCTACACAGAACTGCTACATAATTTTATGGCTTAGTGCACAATGAAAATGTGGACCCCTTTGTTCAAAAATTATTAAGAATTTCACGATGACAGTATGGTATTAAACTCAGCGAAGAACACTTCTAAGAGTGGGGGGGGGGCACTCTATCTGCACAGGTCATGTATCCGTGAAGCTGTCCCTGGTTCCATAGCTCCCAGATGCTAGGCCAGGGGTTATGTCAGGCTTACACGGTAGTTCAAACCTAGTACACAGCTTATTTCACTAACTCAAGCAAGTTGCTTACTTTTCTAAATCTCAAAGACTTTATAATAAAAAGTTTAAACTATATGCTTTTCCCATTCATTCAGAGTTCTAAATACCATGATAGGAGAAACTGTGGGATCTATAATTCTATCTTACCTAAGTTATTTCCAAGTGTTTTATAGTGTAATCTACACTTTCTTGCCTAAGTCATCATGAATGTGATGATTTTAATCCATTCAGTTTCCACCCTTACATAAAGGTAGTTCCAGATTTTTGTGAGGCCTGAAATGTATTCAATTTGAGAGACTCTCTATAAGGAAAGAACTACAAAATTACAAATATAAATTTGGTATGAGAGTGAATATTTATTTAGAATGAAAAAATAAATAATAAGTTTGAACGTAAAAACCTGACAAATACAAATATAGAAGAGTTTTTTGACTGGAGTGTTAACCAGTCTTTTTTATGTTAATGTTTTTGGCTCCTACTAGAACACTTCCTGTTACATATGGATTTTGGTATAATCAATAATTGTAAGAAATACAAAAGATTAACCTTAAAGTAAGGCATAACCAAGAGCAATTTAAATGCATTTTTAAATGGCTGCTATTTTGTATTGTATGTTGACTGATACATGTGTGTGCACTAGCTTTGTTATTGGAACACTAGCTTTTTCAAGCAATTTTTTTGCTGCATCAGTGGCAATTTTGTGGATTGTTTGCTCTGAAAGTACCAGACTATGCCAGGGTAAGGTAAATCAGATACAGTAAAATATGAACTAATATATCAAAATGCATAAAACAAGCATTTCTGCGCACTGAAGTAACTTCCGGTTTTTACTACTGTTTTCATCCTTCAAATAGAGGTGTCTGAGAAGTTCATTTTTTTTTTCTGCTTTCCACAAAAAGAGCAAAAAGAATATCTCGTGCATTTATCATTGTGTGCACTGAAATATCAAGCATACTGTTGACTGTAGAGAACTTCCATTTTGACTAGGCGTCAATGAGAACCTAATGTTCCAATTCAATTGTACACAGCTGATGACTGGAAGAATTTTCCACACACTCGTTGCTGGTTTTATACATTTTAAACCTTATCTTTCCCCTACTACCCACATATTTTCATTGCAAGATACCATAAGACATGTTCATATTAATATATAAATTCCAGCCCTGGGTGCTGGGTGTTTCTTCCTTTTTTATGGCTTAAAACAACAGAAATTTATTCCCTCACAGTTCTGGATTGTAGAAATTTGATATCAAGGTGTTGGCAGGGCCATGCTCCATCTGCAGGCTCTGGGGGAAAATCGTTCTTTGCCTCTTCCCAGCTCCTGTTGGCTCCTAGTAACCGTTTGTGTTTCCCAGTTTGTACACAATCCCTCTAATCTGTGCTGTGTTGTCATATGGTCTTCTCCTCTCTGTGTTCACTTCTCTTCCTATAAAGGAACCAGTCATTGGATTTAGTGTCTACTTTAGTCCAGTATGGCCTTAACTAGCTACATTTGCAAAGGCCTTATTTCTAAATAAGGTCACATTCTGAGGTTTCCAGGGAATGGGAATTTGAGGGAGAAAGTATTCAACCCATTATGAAAACCTATAACAGCAACTTATATCTGTTATTATTAGTTAGAAAGTCTCATCAAACACCTCAGTGTATCTGTTAGCATAACGTTCTTAGAATCCATGACTATCACAGAAAGGAACCACTGAGCAAACCTCAGAAGTGGTCACAGCAAAGGTGGAGTGAGCACAAGGAAAACCACTTCTGCACATGACCACATGGATGCTGTTTCGTGGATGAAAAGACCATGATTCCAAATTCCTGAGAATAGCAGCTCTTTGTTGAAGGAAATCTGCCAGAAAATCTGCCTGTGAAATACTAATGCTGAATGTGATTCCATGAACTCTGCGGGACACCTCGAATGTGCTCTGAGCGTCATCATCACAGTCCCTTCCTCACTGGGTGTGTGACAAGCTACTCAGGAAAAGGCTAGGGAGAGAACAGGATATGCAAGCTTCTAAACATACCAGGCCTGTCTGGACCACCCGTAGAGATGCCCCAGCTACACTAATGACATTGCAATTCCCTTTTGGAAGCTGCGCCTCTGCTAGACTTTCTTATCAAGCTTAGCCCTGAGTTTTTATGTTGCAATGCTGCTTCGGTCAGTAAAATGGGTAGGAGCATTTCTGGAAGCCATTCCCACACTAGGATTGTTAGCCATAATGTATGTGTGTAATGGACTGTGAACCACACACACACACACACAAATCTCACTAAATCAAAAGTAAGTGTTTCCCCAATTCAGCTTCTTAGTTGGATCCCCAAAATGCTTGTGGCTACTCCAACAGCACTGGACCACAAAGGAAAGAATGACAAAAAGGAAGCCAGAGTGGCCTTAATTTATTACAGTTAAAATATCTTTTTTTATACTTGTATTATAAATATGATTATGTGCACACATTGCTGCGGCATATCCCAGAGCTCAGAAGGGCAAATCCACTCTGCTTTTACACTGATTACGGTCCTTTTAAAGGAATTTATGACCTCTAGTCCTGGCATCTTTCTATGATAACAAGATGCTGATGCCTTTCTTACTTCAGAAAGTGAATAAATGCAAAAACTGTACGGAACTGTTTCATTATCTGTAACTAATGAATCTTCATTCTTAAATAATGAAACAGAGTGTTAATTTTTTTTTTGAGAATTATTTTATCAAATCAGGCAGACAGAATGCAACATGGTCATATCGATGCTTGTTGTCACTTTCCCCCTCTCTCTCTTTTTTATCCTCTTTTGAGAGTTACCTTCACCTAATTTTGCAATTTCTTCATGTTGTCCCTCACTGCTCAGTGAAGTATCCATGGATCTGCCCATGCCTTTCCCCTCCAGCAAATTTAGGTTTCATTAGACCCATTAATAATAAAAATCATACATTATTGAGTATACACAATGTGTCCAAAGACAATGTTGAGGGCTCAGGGTGTTATTAAACTTATTTAGTTACTACTTTTCCTTTTTGAAGAAATGGAGACTGAGAAAGCCTAGATAATTTACCCAAGTTCACACATCTCATAAGTAGCAATGTCCAGAATTAGAATTGTGATTTGCTTGACTCCTGAACTTGTGATCCTAACCTTAAGACTGTATTACTTTTTTTGAATCCTACTATCTGCCCTCCAATGTGACTGCTATTTAATTTGGTTAATTCACCCTAGTGACAGATATAACCTTGATTGTAATATCAATTAAATTATAATATTTTTAATTTACATACTAGATTTTGAAATCCCAAGGCAGCAGGCATCTCGATTTTTCATGCTTTGAATTCGCATCACCTAGCTCTTAGAGAAAAGAATATTGAATGAATGAGTTAGTGAGTTGTTGAATAAATCTAACAGCAGCCAGTAGAGATTAGTGGCTTGACTCAAAGGGATGAATCTTAATATGGAATTCCCAGGCTAAAGTGGGAGGTATTTGGAGGCAATAGAACCTTTGGGACATTACTGTTATCTCTCAAATCATTCCACATAGCTGTCATTGCATAGTACCAATCATGAGAAGAAAAATATTATTTTCATTTTGCAAATTATATTGATATTATTACAATTAATTTGACTTGCTTTCTTAACTTGCTAAAAATGTGACCAAAGAAGTGTTTGTTACAGGGCTCACACATAATTGAAACCACTATTTTATATTTTATAGGAGGAATGAGTTCTTCTCAAAGCCCAATAGCATGTTTAGTTTATTGATACTGAGGTGACTAGCTTAGTAATTGAGCCACACAAGGTAAGTGAGGAGAGGTGAAAAGAAGAAAAATCTGCACCTGTAACCATTTTTGCTGTGCTAGTTACAGGGAAGAAGCATTTGAATTTTGGGAGCTTTCCTACTTTGGAAGAGGTGGGAATTCCCTTACAGTTCTATGTCATTAGCTATTACTTTAGCTAGTTTTTTAATTTAGAATAGGCGAAAGAGGTAGAATTGAATTTTGATGAATTCTGGACAGGGAAACTACTTTTAGAAGACTAAAAGTTTGAAAACTGAATCTTAAGAGTCTTTCAAAAATGTTTTAAATAGATATGAATTTAACACTGTATATGTCTATATATATATTTTGTTTTTTCAGAATAGCACTGCCCAAAAGATATGTAATGTGAGATATCAAATGCAAGCCACACATATAATTTAAAGTTTTCTGGTGGCCACATTAAAAAAAGTAAAAAGAAACAGGTGTAAATAATTTTAATGTTTTATTTAATCCAATATATCAAAGTATTCTTATTTCAACATGTAATCAACATAAAAATTATTAATGAGTTATTTTATATTTTATTTTTTATGCTACATTTTGGAGAAATCTGATGCATATATTACTCTTACAGCATGCAGAATACAATCAGACTAGCCACTTTTCAAGTGCTTAATAGACACTTCTGCTTAGTGGCTACTGTTTCAGACAGCCATGTTCTTAGAGTGACCAACCATCCCAGTTTCCTTGGGACTGAGGGTGTACCTAGTATATGGGATTGTCAGTTTTTAAACTGGGACAGTCACAGGTAAACAGGGATGATTAGATCACCCTACGAGATCTAGCTCTTCTTTTATTATGTGTAACTATGTATAGATTTGTTTCCACTGTAGCTTGAAATACTCAACAGAGAATGAATCAGAAGACCTAGGTTCAGATGCTAGATCTGCTATTTATTACTATTGACCTGCGTGTCAATAAGAAATTCCATTAATTTTTCTGAGGCTGAGTTATCACAATTTTAAACTGAAGATAGTACCACTTAACTCACAGGAAGTTCCTGAGGATTATAATAAAATTACATAGGAAAATATATCTAGATCAGGTCCTGGCAAAAGCTGATAATAATAGGTGCAGTTGGATACAGATTTCAAGTACAAAATTTATCTAAAGGAATTCTTTATATTATCCATATGGAAGAAAACAAGTACCTTTTGCAGAATTTCAAATTACCACAAGAAACTACCCATTTACTACTGAGAATTAGTCACATTGGTTGGTTAGTCAAGCTACAAGGTTGCCATGAACTCTTTTGTCTTGCCTGCCCTGCCTTACCTGGCCTCCTACTGCTCTCCCTTTTTCATCAGAAAGGAAGAAATCACTTTTAACTGCCTTTCGCAAATTACACAGGTAATCCACACTTTTTAAAATAAATATTAAAAAATGAAGATAGAGAAATTTTAATAAATTACTCTGTAATTTCACTTCCCAGAAACAAACTCTATGAGGATTTTTCGTCATTTCTTCTTGGAATTTTCCCTATATGTATGTATGTATAAAGGGAAAATTATGCACACAAATATAAGGATATATGTATTGTTTTTATATAGTATTGTTGTGTCTAACATGACATGAATGCTTTCCATGTCATTAATTAGGCATCTCTATTAGTTTCATTATATTAATTTATTATCTATATAGGATTTATAATTTATTTAATCAAGCTGCTATTGTTGAACATTAAGGTATTTCTACTTTCCTGGACATAAAGAATAAGGCTGTGAATAATATGTCTTTGTTCAGGCTTCATATTTTTAGGCATAAATTCTTAGAAATGGAATTGCTGAATAGATGAATATAAGCTTATCTATATTTTTAAGGTTTTTTGATATGTTTAATATGCCATTTTACATATTTTTAAAAATCTATGTACACAAATAACTATAGAAGTGTAGAAGTAGGTGTGTCTTTTACCCCACATCTTAGTTTACACTAGGTACTACCATTAAAAACATTTTTCATTGTATAATATAATCCAGATACAAAAACACACATGCATATATATGTATATGTGTATATGAAATATAATAAGGCAAATAGCCTTGTCACTATACCCAGATCAAGACGTACACATCCAGCTACCCAGAAGCCTTTCTGTGTGTTCCATCCTGATCACAACTACTCTCTACTTTCCTGCAGAGGAACTGTGAAAATATCCAGGGACTCTCCTTACTTTTGTATCAATCCCTTTCTTGCATTTCTCTGTGGCTTCATCACCAACTATGTATTTATAGGCATTGGGGTTCACTCTCGCTCATGATTTTAGGATGGTATGTCTCTTAAGTCTTTTAATCTATAAATTCTCTCTCCAGTCCTCCTCCCTTTCGGTTAATTTGAGGAACCCAGGCCATAGCCTGTAGTTTCCTACAGTCTGGATTTTGCTGCTTGCATAGTGATGGTGCAGTTCCTCTTCCCTCTATATTTCCTGCATATTGACAGCTGGATCTAGAGACTTGATCAGAGTTAAATTCAATCATATGGCAAGATCACAGCTGATGTGTTCTTTCTTCAAGAAGCACATAATGTCTGGCTGTCTCTGTTTTTATGACGTGTTTTGGCACACTTTCAGTGTTTGTAGGAATATTATTCTTCTCTGTATTCTCCTTTTGTTATAGTAACTTTTTATAGCATTTAATCTTGATACTTTTCTCTTGGTCATTTTTTAAAGTTAATTTGTTTTTTCTGAAATTTTAGAAAGAGGCTTGGTTCAGATGATTTTTCTAACTTTTTATACAACTCCCCCCTTTAAGATTTTTAAAAATATAGTGTTAAGGCAGGGCGTGGTGACTCATGCCTGTAATCCCTGCACTTTGGGAGGCTGAGGTGGATGGATCACCTGAGGTCAGGAGTTCTAGACCAGCCTGACCAACATGGTGAAACCCCGTCTCTACTAAAAATCTAAAAAATTAGCTAGTCATGGTGACATGCGCCTGTAGTCCCAGTTACTTGAGAGACTGAGGCAGGAGAATTGCTTGAGCCCAGGAGGCAGAGGTTACATTGAGCTCAGATCGCGCTGTCACACTCCAGCCTGAGCAACAGCAGCGAAACTCCATCTCCAAAAATATATATATGTGTGTATATATATATATATATATATTTAACACTATATTTATAGTGTTAAAAATTATAGCAGCTTACTTTTTGAGAGTTCCTGATTCTCTTGTTTCCCCCTCCTCTTGCCACCCCAATTTATCTTGGTCTTGCCTTTCCTTTGTCTCTATTGCCCATCTACCATTCAATTTTTCTTTCGCTCCTATCAGTGTCATCTCAGTGTAGGGGCCTGTGCTGGAGGAGAGCCCTGGCAGATACTTTTTTTTTTTTTTGAGACTGAGTCTTGCTCTATTGCCCAGGCTGGAGTGAAGTGGCACGATCTCGGCTCACTGCAACCTCTGCCTCCTGGGTTCAAGCAATTCTCCTGCCTCAGCCTCCTGAGTAGCTGGGATTACAGGCGCCCACCACCACGCCCAGCTAATTTTTTGTATTTTTAATAGAGACTGGGTTTCACCATGTTGATCAGGCTGGTCTTGAACTCCTGACCTCAGTTGATCAGCCCACCTCTGCCTCCCAAAGTGCTGTGATTACAGGCATGAGCCACCGCGCCCAGCAAGTTTTAAGAATTCACAGGAGACAGATTGCCCCAGCCCATTTGATGGGCCTTTTTCATTCATTTGCTATTGTATTTGACAAAATGCCTCCTAGTTCCAGTAAGCTCGGTAGCATCTCAAGGTATAGAGGTGGCAGTGGAAGCAATTTGCCTTAGGTACAGGCAGGAAGGAGGCCACGTTGTCTATGTAGAGGTAAAATACAGATGAACTACTGAAGGTTGATCTGCTTTGTATTATCAGCCTGCAATGGTTATTCTAAACAACGTAAGTGATAAAATAATCCCCTCACTGTGCCACCTCCTCCTCTAAGCCTTTGATCTCAAAGTGGGCTATGGGATTTTTAAGTGAATACTTGCTGGCAGCTATTTTGGGGTTGTCCTGTCATTTCTCAAGTCCATCAAATGCACTTTCCTTGCTTTCTTTTGCACAGCTTCTCAAATCACAGAGGCTCGAGGCTATTGGTGGTTTGTACCCACACATTTATATATTGCCATCAAGTTTTGTTAAAAATGTTGTCCATGAGTTTTTGGTTTTACTTTCTTGCTGCTCTTTTAATGTAGGGTTTCTGCTAGAGCCAAAAACTATGCAGTCACTGTATCTGTCATCTTCACAGGCTCCCTCCCCCCTGAGTATTTTCATTTTTAATCTTTGTTAATTTGAAATGTAAGAAATATTACTTCATTGTTTTTTAGTTTTTGTTACTTGATTTTTAGTAAGCTGGTAATTATTTTCTTATCTATTTATTTGTGGCCATTTATATTTTTTAAATATATGGACTGTCTGTAGTTTTGCCTATTTTTCTACTGGAGTCTCTGCCTTATTCTCATTGATATATAAGAACTATTCTTAATATATAAACTTTAACTCTTGGTCTACACTTTCTATAATAATGATAATGATTTTTAACAGTGCAGTACTTATCATCTAATTTTTTGGCACAATATAGTTTTAAACTTAAGGTGAGAAAAGTTTTTAAGTTTTTAAAATATGTGTTTTGATTATATTTGGAGAGACCCACCTACTGGTTGTTGGAGAGTTTGGTAAGTTTTACTGATGAACAATATTTAGTGAACGTCATTATAGGATAAAGAACAATGAAATTTTGGAAAGCATCAGGATTTCTTAATTTGAAATGATACCGAACAGTGTTACTCCCATTTTAGATGATCTCTATATGCTCTGGCCTGTTAAACAAATCATAACTGAAGTTTATATAGGGCTTCACAATTTACCCACGTCTTTCGCTTATATGATTTGAGCCTCACAATAATTCACATACTTAGAAAAATAACTGCCTGAAGTCTGCAGTAATAGATTTCTTTTCCAAGTGAAGTCTGCTTAGTTATAAATCTCTAATTGCTAATGGCGATAAAGGGCAGTATTAGCAGCTACAGTTAAAAAAAAATCCTGGGGAAATCAGTTAGCAGTCATTGGCCAGGAAGTGGATTGTTTGCAGATTACTTGGCATAGATCCCCATAAAGAAGCAAACCTTCGGTCCCACCCCTTCACTCTGCTTTTCCTGCCTCCTCTGTTCCAGAGAAGCAAATATTTAGACACATTTGAACCATCAAAACCAGCAGTTTATACTAATCTGGACAAAATGAGTTATAAAGACCAGATGATGCTTAAATATAGCTGACAAGATTTTAACTTCATACTTTGAAAAACGTTATAGATGACCTTCTTTTAGTGTTTTCTCCATTGGTATTAAGTTAAACATTAAAGAAAACCCTAAAGCACTTTGATGGAATTTGGAGAATTATTTATTGAATAAAAGTTTTTGGTTTTTGTTTTGTGAATGTCTCTTTAAATCAAAGTTATTAGTTCCTATGATGCTGCAATTCTGGTGAGTCAGAAATTCACCATATTTGGATTTTCAGTTTTCCACTTTCAATGGCTTCCTCTGTCCTTTTTTTTTTTTTTCAAGCTCAACAAATGTAAAATATTTTAATCAAGTGAAAACAGACGAAAATATGACTCATTCTCCTCGGCTAGGGTTGGTTTGCTGATGTCATTCCAGTCTCTGCGGCCAAAGCGTTCTAAGGAGCATAATCAATCTTGGGGATCCTGCATTTCAGTTAGGAACTAAAGCATTTCATTTTAAACTCTCTTTATTTCCTTTTTTCCTCTTCTTTTTGTTTCCTCCAAAAAAGAAGAAGAAAAAAGAAACAGTTGAATAGTTTCATACTTTTCTTGTGTGTCATGCCACATACATTTTGTTTCATCCCTCATGTCTTCATTTTGTTGCTTAATATATATTTCTTCTGAAGACTGTTTGCTATTCTTTATGTAGAAAAAAGGACCAGGAGGATTTATATTTAACGGCCTGAAAACTCAGCTCACTCTTTTTCCCTAGCTTCCCTTTCAGGGCGGCATTACCATCTGCCTTCATGGCTTCATGTAACCTCTTTATTCTCAGGGCTCTGAAATCTTTATCTCCAGTGTCAACTTTTTTAAAGCACCTGACTCAAATTTAACTTTCAGCTGACATCACTCTTATAAGCATCTTTAATTCAAAATATTCAAAACTGAATTAATTAGTTATTCCTATCAGGAACCCCAAACTGATCTTTCTGTTTTGTTTTCCATTGCAGTTAAAAGCTTCATCATCTACTCAGCCAAAATTAAGAGTCTGTAAGATTTTCTGACTTCTCCCTCTCCATGATCCTTTCTGTTGAATTAGCATCCAAATATTGTTGCTTCTTTCTCAGAAGTACCTCAAGAATTCAACCCTTTTTTGTTGTTAAAAGGAAGTTCTTTAGAACCAAAAGACTGAGGTTTAAATTCTGTCTCCAGCACTACTATCTGTGTGACCTGGGGCTCATTACTTGAAAACTTCCTGGGTCTCAGATTTCTGGTCTATAAAATGGAAATAAGTATAGTACCTCTGTCATGGGGATTATGGAACTTAGAACAGTACCTGTATATGTTAAGTGCTACAGAAATATTAGATATTATTATTTTTATCATTTAATCAATCTTCACTCGGATAGCCACTGACTTACTTTATCTCTTGGCTAGAATATTGAAACAGCTTTTTAACTGGTCTCCTAATTCTAGTTCTTCCCATTCCATTTTCTAATCCACAGTAAAGAGGTTATGTCAGTCAGGGGCCAGTCAGAGCAACAGAAGCCAAACTGAGTTTTTCAATATAAAGAATTGATACTGTATTGATTATCAGTTGTTAGAGGACTTAAAAAATAAAAGGAATCACTGTAGAAGCTTCTACCACCTATATAGTGCAGGGAACAGAGGCAGAAGGCTGAAGTTTTCAGAAAGTAGAAGATTAAAATAAAGACCCCCATGAAGCAGGGCTCAGACTTGGAAGAAGGGGCACTGCCTGCATGCTACTAGTACCTCCGAGGGGGCCAGATGAGGCCAGTTGTGGGAAAGCCAAAAAAAGTTCTGGTGCCATGGTAAGAGGATGTTGACAAAAATACAAAGCAAACAGGAGAAAGGGAGTCTTTTTTCCTTTCTTCCATTCTTCCAGTTTCCCTTTATAATCCAAAGAACCAGCTGATAAAAGAAGATTTGCAGCATCCCTGTGTCAGCATACCAGAACAGGGTACAGAAGTATGGATTCAAAATGAGAATCAATAGCTCAATAACCAATGTAGTATACTTTCTAAAACACAGATCATCTCTCTTCCTTAACTTTCACATCCAGTGGCTTCTCATTGCCTGTAGGATAAAGTTCAGATTCCTCAAATTCTGGTCAAAATAGAATTTTTCAGCTCTTTTCCCAATCCTTCGTTTCTATTCTTATCACTGCCCTTATCCTGCCTCCTAACTTCCAGTCCCTTCTGCACCATGACCTTTGCTCTGCAGTTCTTGTTTCATTCTCCTGAAGTATTTCATCCCTCCATTGTTTTGCATCTGTTGCCTCTTCTGCCATCCTTTTTATTGACAAAATCCTATTCATTCTTTAAGAGTCAGCTCCTTCATTAAACTGAGAGTTCTGGACAAAATTAATGACCTGTTCCTCTGTACTTCTATAGATTGTTTGTTCATTCATTCAAATCAAGTGTGTATGGACTCCTTATTATGTAATGGACATTGTGCAAAGCACTGTACAACAATGAACAAAACATCCTTGGTTCCTGCTATGTGGAGTACCCTGAGGAAGTGACTTTTGAACTGGAATTGGAGGTAACAAGGGGGTAACTAGGCAAAGGAGGGTGGGTTGGAGGGGAGCAGTAATGAATTTGGATTTAGTCAAGTTGACTTTGATATCCCTTTGAACATTTAAGAGGGGAGTTGAGAGGATTGTTGCATAAATGACTTCGTAGCTCAAAAGTAATAGCTAACTGGAGAAATACATTTGGAATTTCTAGCATGCACACTCTAAGGTCTTAGTAGGAGAGGAGAGCAAGGCAAAACAGAGAATTATGGCTAAATTTTTAATAACTTTAACAATTAAAGTTGAGTCAAAGCGGATGACCCCAAATGGCAAGAGTAGCGATCAGAAACAAGAGGAACAGAAACAGTGAGAAAAAAATTCAAAAGGATGGATTAGCAACAGTTTTGAATGTTACTGAGGCTTAGTAAGATAATCATACAGATTTTTGCACTGGATTTAGTGACCTCATTAATGATCATAGGGGGATCCTTTATCCTTTTCAGTAGAGTGATTGCTCTGCTAAGTGGAGTAGAGTGAAGAATGAGGTAGTGAAAATGGAGACAGCTAACATGGAGAAGTTGTTTGAGAAATTTGGCTAGAAGAAGTGACCTAGAATACTTATTTCATTGTATTGTATTTATTTACTATCTTTTCTAACTAGCTAGCATGTACACTTCCTGTAGGCAGGTTATTGATCTTTGCAAACCTTAGCACTAAGACCAGAAACTGGCATTTAATGGATGCTTGATAACAGAATTGTATGACTGGTGAATGCTATTAAAGGGAATTAATTGAAATTGTAAAATAACAAAGCAAGTGCTTTGTAACTTACATTTAATAGAATGGAAGCTAAAATATTTGTTAATTTTTTTCTTGAGTTATTTTTGACATAATTTTGAAAATATGGGTCAGTGATACAAAAATATTTTGTTTAGTAAAAGTTAAAAAAAAGGATTAGAGGAGTCAATGAGAAAATGCAGCCAATTTTTGAAAATACCATAATATGAAACTCCAATTCACATTCCTCTAGTTTAAGTTTGAAAAGTCATACACATATCCTAATTTAATTCCAATTTAGCATACCCAAACAGAAAACTAAATTTTCTTTTGATCTGCATTGGTATTACTAGTTTACTTCAAAAAATATTTTCCAATCTTTTAAGTGCAAACATGGTTATTTTTCAGTCTTTTGCATAAAATCCAAGGTTATGTTTACAAAAGTACATTTGTTATTCTTAAAAGTGTACATTAGAATGATTTATAAAAATTGTTGGCAATGTTACAAGACAAATAAAACAATTTTAATTTAGGCTTCTGCATTTAATAGAATTTACAGGTTCTTATTTAATCACTGCTCAAAATTCAGTTGAAACAAATTATCAGAGTACCTTGGGCCAATTCTACACAACTTTCGAGTATGTGTCATTGTTATCCAAATCTTCCAAAGTCATCTTTCACAATCCTGCTGTCCTCTGTGGCTCTTCATGCCTTCCCCGTGTCCCCCATATTTTATTGATCTCAAGCAACTTCCTCAAAATTGCTCTCAGTGTGAATAGGTTGGGCAGATACTGTTTCAGGTAAGTCTTTGTAAATGACAAATAAGGAAAGATTTTCCTTTCCTCTGGTGGTTATTCAGACTTGGCCCTAGTCCTTCATGGTTTTAACAGGGGACCACTCCTTTGCTTGTAGAACTTCTATCCATCCCAGGGTGTATTTTGGAGAAGAAACTTCTTATATTCTCAAATTACAATATACAGGGATATATAGGCAACTACTATTTGTGCCTCAGCATGCAGTTGGTCTAAAGGGCACACACATGTAGCATGAAAGCATATGTGCCCTCTGTTCAAGCTGAGTGTAGGCCCTTAGGTTTCTGAGAGTGTCATAACAGATAAAGACAGCAGAATTTGGTCTGGGATGCTGTACATCTACTGCTTTGTTGAATTTACCCGCTTTAAGCTTCTTTCAGCATATGGTTGGTTCAGTCTTGGCTGTTCTTGCTCTTGCCATTTGTTTATGTGATTATGGTAACTCACTGCCCTTCCCGGTTCCCCACTTCCCAGCTTTGACATAGTCCTAACTACACATCCTTTCTATGGAGTCCACCAGTGAGCCTGAATTCACTTAAACTAGCTTTTTCCCTAGTTTCCTGTTCCCTACTTAGCTCCTTTACTCCTGGGCTGTTATGTGATATACACACCTAGTAATCATCGAAAAGTTTACCGCAGACTTAAGAAATGGTAACAGCAGTTTGTTAAATGGGGAGGAGCTTATCACTCTCCTACTTTAAACAGTTTATTTTAAGACACAGGATTTTGGTGGGGTAATAAGAAGTTGTTCTATAATTACTTAAAACTTCCACCAATTTTTCTAATAAATGTGATATCCTAATTCTATTATGTTATACAAACTTCTAATTCATAAAAAATCATTATTTTTGCTTCTCTAGTAAATTATGTTTTTTTAAACCTAAAGGTCTTATTACTATAGGAATCACAAGAAATTAAAATATGAATGTAGATAACCAATAATTACTGACATTTACTATGGGCCAGGTGTCCTATATGCAATTACTTTACTAATCTTCATATTAATTTCACCATTTAGGGAACATTGCTTCCATTTTCCATTCAAGGGAAGAGTGGTTCATAGTGACTCAGGTAACAAGTAGGTTATGAACATAAGAATCAAACCCAAGGCCAAATATAAACTGCTGTTTCTGAACATCAGCATTCAGTTCCATTATTTTGCTGAAAACTAGAAGTGGCCATTGCCTTGTTTAGAAAAGTAACCTCACATTGTAATTAAGAACATGAGATTTGGGATTTGATTTCCTGGGTTCATATTCCTTTTCTGCTACTCACCAGCACTGGGTCCCTGAACACATTACTGAACATCTCCAGGACTAAATGTCTGTGCTAATGAAATAATCCACATAAAGCACTTAGCACAGTGTCTGGTATAGAGTGAACACAAATGTTCTTTGGTTAATTCAGATATTTTGGCCTCTTTAAAGATTTCTTCTCTTTTGGCTAACAAAATGGGAAACAGAATAAGCTGTGTTTTTAAGGCAGGAGTCTCCATATTCTTGTGTGAAGAAATTATACTTCTTTGCTTCTTTATAAATGACTCAACATAAAGGTGGGAGGTAGAGGTGACTATCAATAAAATCCTTCAGTGAAACAGAGATCAAGTGTCACTGTTGTTAGGATAACGGTGTTAGGAGTCTCCTTCCCTATTTCCAGGTGTGAAAAACTACAGAGAATGCTGCAGAAAGATGTGTGGTAGTTTTAACTAGTTTAGAGTTTTATGAGATAAAACATTAATATCTACCAGGAGATCCCAAGACCTGGGGTCACAAATAAATCGCAGGTATTCTACCACTTCTCACTCCACCATTCCAAGCCCATAGAAGACATAATTAATTCAACACAACATAATTAATCCAAGACAAGATAGAGACTTGTACTCAGGCTCTTCCCACTACAATCCTCCAGGCAGTCACATGAATCAATCAGGAGTTAAGCCACAGGATGGAACCTGTTTGTGGTCTTTGATTAAGTCCCCATATTTTTATAGTATTAGGACAGAAATCTAAAGGAAAAATGAATTAAAGGAGAGAGATACCCTAGCATGCTGAAATTAAAGTTTAAAGATGAAATGGATTCATTAGTTCGAAAGTGTATGTAAGACAATTTAAGAATTACTGAAATATGAGTCATACAGATCTAAAGCTGAATCAGCAGGGAAGTAGACACACATGAACTCCTAGTTTAGAAACAACGGAGGTTGCAGTAGATTCTTTTAAGAAAGAAGTCCTTAAAATTTTGAAGAGTGGGAGAAGTAAGGTACTATGGGGATATTTAGTCATTATTCAATTAGCAAACATCTTTGGGCAAAGCCCTGCTTGATGAATGGAATGGTGCTTCTCTTTCATTTTCATTTTTGAAATGTTAAAGCGACCTAAACTTCTCTATAAAATAGCATAATTTACAACATTGGGGAATTCAAAGAGCTTTATGTGAAAATGCTTCATTCTGGCTGGGCGCGGTGGCTCACGCCTGTAATCCCAGCACTTTGGGAGGCCGAGGCGGGCGGATCACAAGGTCAGGAGATCGAGACCATCCTGGCTAACATTGTGAAACCCCGTCTCTGCTAAAAATACAAAAAATTAGCCGGGCGTGGTGGCGGGCGACTGTAGTCCCAGCTACTCGGGAAGCTGAGCCAGGAGAATGGCGTGAACCCGGGAGGCAGAGCTTGCAGTGAGCCGAGATGGCGCCACTGCACTCCAGCCTGGGCGACAGAGCGAGACTCCGTCTCAAAAGAAAAAAAAAAAAAGACAAAAAAGAAAATGGTTCATTCTTAGACAGGGAAAGTTACAGACTAAGTTCTCCAATTTTATTCTCAATAATTTTCTAGCATTGCTTTTCTGAACTTCAGTGTGAGATATTTCACTTTTATTGAAATTTTCACACATATGTAACTAATTATTCATTTAATTAAGTCTCTTTTAGGCTAAAGAGTCACCAGTTCCTCTGGAGTTCGGAATATACTTGTGGAAAATAATAAAGTCTCTAAAGTAAGAAAAGAACTGTAACCATGTAAGTAGGGCGTGGCCTCGACCATGAAACTGGAAGTATTGCATTACAGCTAACAAGGTGACAAAAGTGCTTAGTACAGATGACAGATTCTGTAAAAAAATTTTAAAATATCAAAATGGCACTTTGTTCTGTAAACTTGCCGATACATTGCAACTTTGGGTATTTCTTTATGTCTAATTCAGCAGTTTTAGAAACACTAAAGTATTCTGCATACAGCTGTGTTCCTATTTGCACAGACTCCACATCTGCCAAAGCAAATACTGGTCTGCTCCCTGTAATTCTACCACTCCACTAGAGTTTCTCCTGTATTTATGGGATGGGTGTGTTGATTATAAGTTAGAGTTCTGGTGTTTGGTTCTTGACTACATTGTATTTAAGTTCATTCTATGCTTTTTTGGCTAAAACTTGAAAGCAATGCCACTTTTAGATTTGGGAGGGTGCAAATAAATAAGGCAGGGCGATTATATTACGGTCATGATATATCCTCATTGTATTTCTTTGACCTGTACATATGTTTCAAGTACTCATCTTTTCTTTTCTTTCCAAAATATACATTAAAGGGCTGCATTACAGATTTACATTTTATCTGTGCCAATGGAAAGTTACTGAATTTGAACTTCATTTTTAGCATTTTAATGCATTTCCATTCTACCATAGGAAAAAATACTTAGAGGAGGGGTTTGAAATGTATCAGTAATTGTATCATTCTGGAAGAATGAGCTGTTAAGCAGAACTCTTTTGAAGAATAAATAAGTTCATTTTCAGATTAGAAAGTTTAATAGGTAGTGAAATCAAAATTGGTAACTAGAAAAGGTTAATAAATGAATTTTATGTCTCTGATTCCACTTTCCTGCCCTCTTATCCTCATCCTTACTGTCTTGCCAAATCTCCCAACAAAGATAATGATTTTAAAGATGATTCTCAAATTCATCATGCCCATAGTATTATCTTCCTCAGAGTGAGTTATGGAATCTCACACTCTAACCCATCAATGTCAATTTACCCTCCACACTTATGTACTACTATTATCATTCTTTCTTTTGCTCAGTAGCTCACAATTTTCTACCACATGAATTCTAAACCTGGAGAAATTAATTTCTACTGCTTCTAAATGTGAACACTCTGCCACATCTGACCAGTTTACTTACTGCTTCTTCACTAAGTCAAGGTTATTCTAGTCTCCACTTGTTCTTCTCACCTCTCTTTCATTCATTCCAACTCCTGTCTTTTCTCAACACATGAGAATTCTGAACAGTCTATTGCTGGTCTGATAATCTGTTGCTTTTAACTGCATAATTCTGTTTATTCACATTTTCTGTGAATTACATTTAACATTGCATTTTATTCTTTTGATTTATTCTACTTTTTCTCTTTTCCTATTTTCTACTCTCTTGCTTTTGCAGGGAGGAGTTTAGTGCATTTTGTTTATGGTTCACATTGTATTCTCCCCCCACTGCTAGATTGTGTTTTTTGCATTTAATTTTTACCCTTTTAATTATTATCCTAGGTATTTTAACACACATATTAAAATTAACAGCCTAAAAATAATATCTTTAATCTCTTACCAGCTAAAACAGGAGCTTAAAATGCTTTACTTCTCAAATTCTATGAATATATATTTATTATTATATGTGCATATATAATATATATAATTTTAGTTTTATTCTATTTTTATTAACAGACTAGATTTAAAAATGTTTTATATGATCAATGGATTATTTAGATTTACCTATTTGTATATCACTTTTCCTTGCTTGTGTTTTCCTTTTGTACCTCAGATGTCTTTTCCGAGATAACTTTTTTCTTCCTAAAGCATATCTCTTGAGAATTCCACTGCCTTCTGATTTTTATTGTTGTTGAGAAATTAGCTCTTAGCTTATATGTTGTTCCCTTCAAAGCAGTTTGTCTTTATTTTCCTCATGCTGTTTTTGTAATGCTTTGTCTTTGATGTGCTACAGTTTCAATGCAATGTGTTTATTGATTATTTTATTTGTATTTATCCTTCTTAGGTTTTTTTACATTTCTCTAACTTTAGAATCAAGGTAATTTCTAACTTTGGAAAATTATTAGCCATTATCTTTTTGAATATCTCTTTTCCATTTTCTTGTTTCCCTCCTTCTAGGATTCTAATTAGATATTTGTTAGTACCGTGTACTCTAATCTCTATTACTTCTTGTGCCTTTCATGTTTCTCATTTTATTGTTTTCCTGTGTTGCATTCTGTATATTTTCTTAACTTGTATCTTCCAATTTTTGAATTTTCCCTTTAAATATGTTAAGTCTGCCTCCTTTGGATTAACTAAGTATTTTGTATCATTTCATGGACTTATTATTAAAACCTCTTTTTAATATTTTGTTAGTGGTTGCTAGGCTTTAGGATATGCATTTTTAATGAAGGTTAATCATCATATGTATTGTTAAACTTTCCAACAGTATTTTTCCAATTCCTTTTCACATCTTTTGTTCTACCTTTATCATATAATTAACTTTTTATATAATTGCTAATATTGTTGCTTTAGAGATTCAATTATATTTTAGAGTAAAAATAATAGTCTTTTTTGTTTTTTAAATAAAATGTTTACCTTCACTTTAACTATTTCTAAAGATCTTATATTTGTGTGTGTGTAGATCCAGGTTTCCATGATATTTCTTTTGTCTGAAGAACTTTAACATTTCTTGTAGTACAGGACTGCCAGTAAGGACTTACATTAGTTATTGTTTGTGTGAAAGAAAGCCATTATTTCCTCTTAATTTTGAAAGATAGCTTGCTGGGGAAAGAATTTTTGATTGACATTTTTTTTTATTTCAGTACTTCAAAGGTGGTGTTCCATTGATCTTCTGTCTTGCAATGTTTCTGATAAGAAATTTCATGTAATTCTTTTTCCCTCATTATGTATTATATCTCTTTATTCTGGCTGCATTTTCTTTTTTAAGGCTTTCAGGAGCATAAATACAAAGTGTGTAGTTGTTTTGTCTTTGGTATTTATTCTGCTTGACATTTTCTGAGCTACTTGAATCAGTATATTTTATTATTTTGGGAAAACTCTTGGTCATTATCTCTTCAGTATTTTTTTCTGTTTTATTCTCTCTCTTTTCCCTCTATTTGTATTGCAATCCCATCTTCTTCCCATATTGTTAGAATCCAGCTTACTTAGCTACCCTATAACCTAAACTTTCTGCTGGGTTAAGGAAAAATTATAATTTTGAAGGTTATCTGGCATTTAATTACTATTAAGCTAGGAGTAATTCACTTAGCAGCTTCCTACTTTCTTGTCAGAAGTTAAAAGCCCTCTAATTCCATATTTATTTTGAGGTATTATCTAACAGCTTTGAGCAATTAAAGATGTGAAAATTAGTACATTTCTGCTTCTTTCTGCCTCCCTATTCTCCAACTCTTAATTTGGATTAGTTGTTTAGTTAATTTATTTTTTATACCATCAAGGTATTATTTATGCCATCAAAGTAAGACCAAAAAGATGGTACAGAACCCAGGGCCTGCCTTTATTACCCTTGAGCCTGAAGGTGCAAGGAAGAGAGAAGTTATTGAACCTGAGGAGATGTAACTGTAGGAAAAAGCTACTTCACTGGACTGTAGCCACTCTCTAACCACAGCTGGCAAGAGAGGATTGGGAGAATCAGTGCCCTGACCTCATTCTCTTTCTGCCTTTCAATCCCCTACTGTGCTTTCCATTGGCCTAACCCCAATAAAAAGCCAGAGGACAAGAGTGTCTGTTGATGCAACCTGTAATGGTCAACTTGTAGGATATAGTGATGTACAAAGAAGGATGGAGAATAAATCTGGTGGAGTAAAATGAGAAATCCAAGTACACTTATGTTGCTTCCTTTGGGCATTTATTGTATTTTATCTGTAGAAAATTTTGTTTCGCTGTATTTTTACAAAATTAGAACTTTGAATTGTACAGGCTTTTATAATTGGATTCTTAGGGTTCTGACTTTTATTTTACTTTTTGATTAGCCACAGTACAGCTTGATGACTTAAAGAAACAACTTTGTGGCTGTTCTAGATTCTAAAGAGAAGATAAACCTTTTGAAGAGAATACTCACCACCACCCCTCTATGTCCCTTTCTGCTTTGGTTATAAACATCTGTTTGCTTGTAGTGGGTGTGACCATGCCTTTTTTTGCCCTTGTGCCTAGTTAAGAGCTTTCAAAAGTATGATGGACATTTTTATATGTTATTGTACCTTTAATAAATGCTTTATTTCCCTCTAAACAAATTAAAGCTCTTGACTAAAAGGTATTATACCTTTGTGAATCTTACTCTTTAGATAATTATGGCCTTACTCCATGATCTATCTCCATTTTTGGCAATAGTCATGTGCTTTTATATTTAAGTTTTTAGTTATTACTTAGATAAAGGTTATACAAATCTTTGCTAAACATGAATAGAATTAATAAAGTGGCCAGTGTTGCTTTTTGATCATATACTGACCAATTAGTCAATTTATGGGAATCCAGCTCACAAAAAGTTTCAAAAAGATTTAGTCTTGATTTTTTCTCTTAAGGAGCCATAGTCTACTGAGGTGATAAACATAATCATATGAAAGGATAAATAATAGTATACACCAGCATATGATATGTAGGGAATTAAAAATTTAGGTTAGTAAGTGTTATAGAATTTTAGGGAAGGAAATGTTAGCATGGTCGAATGAGTGAATATATAAAGTGGTTGAAAAAAATTGTAAATTAAAGTAGAATTAGTCTGAAAATAAAAATTATCAACTTTCTCTTGCTTCCCAACTTGGAATGGAAACAAGTGACTGTTGCTGAGAAAAGTTTTTAGTTTACCTTTCAGGTTGAGAAATGGTGGCTTGATGTTGACCATCATTTCCAATAATTGCATATTATTATTACCTTACTATATCCCTCAAAATGAAAACATATATGTTTTACAGGGGCAGGTACAGAGTTGATTTTCACACTTTTAACTTCACATTTTCACTATTATGAAAACAATTTCTGCATCCAGAAATTGATTACATTGATTTCTCAGGTATATCAGTAATGAAGGTGTCTGATAAATGACTGTTCATTATGTCTCAAACCAACAAATACAACTTTTTCTTGTCCATCCCATCTCTGTAACAAACTTTCTACCCTGTCTTTTCTTCACCACTGGATTTCTTCAAAAAGTGGTACCTTCTACTAAATGTCTCCTCTTTTGCTATTCATATCCCATCCAGTTAAACGTAAATTATATATGGTTTTATATTTATAAGATCTTTTGCTTATAATCAAATTATCACTGAGTAGAGATAAGAGATCCCACTTTACTCCAACAGTACTGCAAAACATAAATGATTGCCAGATTAGGTTCTGTACTTGTCAGCGCATTACTTATCTTTATAATTGTCTTTATACATCTTTATATTTATTATATAAAGTTAACATATCCTATGCATTCATTCTCCCAGCATCCATGTGGAAAATGGCCAGGATAAAGACTAACATACTCTTCTTCAGGTAGGGGTAATGTACTCCTAGATCTAAATATGTATCATATTAAAGGTTAAGGTAAGCAGGCGGATCACGAGGTCAGGAGATTGAGACTATCCTGGCTAACATGGTGAAACCCCGTTTCTACTAGAAATACAAAAAATTAGCTGGGTGTGGTGGCGGGCACCTGTAGTCCCAGTTCCTCGGGAGGCTGAGGCACGAGAATGGCGTGAACCTGGGAGGCGGAGCTTGCAGTGAGCCTAGATCGTGCCGCTGCACTCCAGCCTGGGTGACAGAGCGAGACTCCATCTCAAAAAAAAAAAAACAAGAGCCTATGAGAAACTTTTGCCACGTAAGAGGAAAATATTAATTTGAAGCATCTGGCCATACTGGTAATTTCTGTTCCTTAGAGATATCAAACAGATCCTGCCTGAATGTATTTGTATGAAGTTTTGCTGGAGTGTTCTTCCCTGGAATTTCTCACAGTTGGCTACTTTTTTTTTTGTCATTTGAATCTTAGTTTAACGATCATTTGTAGAATAAATAAATTAACCTAAATGGACATTATTTAAAGCTAATTTAGTTGCATTAGCAAATCCTTCCTTGCCACAACAAAGCATACGAGTTCTTTTGTGTGCCTTCATCTACCACCCAGAAACAGGGAATAGCATTAGGAACTCTTTGCACCTTCCCTTATTGATAATTTTTTAATTAATTAATTAATTTTTTATTTTACCTTAAGTTCTGGGTTACAAGTACAGAATGTGTAGGTTTGTTACATAAGTATATGTGTGCCATGGTGGTTTGGCACACCTATCAACCCATCATCTAGGTTTTAAGCCCCACATGCATTAGCTATTTGTCCTAATGCTCTCTCTCCCATCGCACCCCAACCCCCTGGCTGGCCCCGGTGTGTGTTGTTCCCCTCCCTGTGTCCATGTGTTCTCATTGTTCAACTCCCACTTATGAGTGAGAACTTGTGTTTGGTTTTCTGTTCCTATGTTAGTTTGCTGAGGATAATGGCTTCCAGCTTCATCCATGCCCCTGCAAAGGACATGATCTCATTCCTTTTAATGGCTGCATAGTATTCTATGGTGTATATGTATCCAGTCTGTCAGTGATGGGCATTTGCGTTGGTTCCATGTCTTTGCTATTGTAAATAGTGCTGCAAAAAAAATATACGTGTGTATGTGTCTTTATAGTAGAATGATTTATATTCCTTTGGTTATATACCCAGTAACGGGATTGCTGGGTCAAATGGTATTTCTGGTTCTAGATCCTTGAGGAATCGCCACACTGTCTTTCACAATGGTTGAACTAATTTATATCCCCACCAAGAGTGTAAAAGTGTTCCTATTTATCCACAGTGTCACTAGCATCTATTGTTTCTTGACTTTTTAATAATTGCCATTCTGACTGTCATGAGATGGTATCTCATTGTGGTTTTGATTTGCATTTCTCTAATGATCAGTTCCATCAACAAAGATCATTTATAGTTTTCTGACAAGAAAGTAGGAAGCTGCTAAGTGAATTACTCCTAGCTTAATAGTAATTAAATGCCAGATAACCTTCAAAATTATAATTTTTCCTTAACCCAGCAGAAAGTTTAGGTTATAGGGTAGCTAAGTAAGCTGGATTCTAACAATATGGGAAGAAGATGGGATTGCAATACAAATAGAGGGAAAAGAGAGAGAATAAAACAGAAAAAAATACTGAAGAGATAATGACCAAGAGTTTTCCCAAAATAATAAAATATACTGATTCAAGTAGCTCAGAAAATGTCAAGCAGAATAAATACCAAAGACAAAACAACTACACACTTTGTATTTATGCTCCTGAAAGCCTTAAAAAAGAAAATGCAGCCAGAATAAAGAGATATAATACATAATGAGGGAAAAAGAATTACATGAAATTTCTTATCAGAAACATTGCAAGACAGAAGATCAATGGAACACCACCTTTGAAGTACTGAAATACTTTTTTCATATGTTTGTTGGTTGCATAAATGTCTTCTTTTGAGAAGTGTCTGTTCACATCCTTTGCCCATTTCTTGATGGGGTTGTTTTTTTCTTGTAAATTTGTTTAAGTTCCTTGTAGATTCTGTATATTAGACATTTGTCAGATGGGTAGATTGCAAAAATTTTCTCCCATTCTGTAGATTGCCTGTTCACTCTGATGATAGTTTCTTTTGCTGTGCAGAAGATCTTTAGTTTAATTAGATACCATTTGTCAATTTTTGCTTTTGTCGCAATTGTTTTTGGCATTTTCATCATAAAGTCTTTGCCCATGCCTATGTCCTGAATGGTATTTCCTAGGCTTTATTCTAGGATTTTATGGTTTTGGGTTTTACATTTAATCTATCGAGAGTTAATTTTTGTATAGGGCATAAGGAAGGGGTCCAGTTTCAGCTTTCTTTGTATGGCTAGCCAGTTTTCTCAGCACCATTTATTAAATAGGCAATCCTTCCCCCATTGCTTGTTTTTGTCAGGTTTGTGGAAGATCAGATGGCTGTAGATACGTGGTGTTATTTCTGAGGTCTCTGTTCTGATCCATTGGTCTATATGTCTGTTTTGGTACCAGTACCATGCTGTTTTGGTTACTGTAGACTTGTAGTATACTTTGAAGTCAGGTAGGGTGATGCCTCCAGGTTTGTTCTTTTTGCTTAGGATTGTCTTGGCTATACGAGCTCTTTTTTGGTTCCATATGAAGTTTAAAGTAATTTTTTTCTAATTCTGTGAAGAATGTCAATCGTAGTTTGATGGGAATAGCAGTGAATCTATGAATTACTTTGGGCAGCATGGCCATTTTCACGATATTAATTCTTCCTATCCATGAAGATGGAATGTTTTTCCTTTGTTTGTGTCCTCTCTTATTTTCTTGAGCAATGGTTTGTAGCTCTCCTTGAAGAAGCCCTTCTGATTATTTGTTAGCTGTATTCCTAGGTATTTTATTGTTTGTAGCAATTGTGAATGGGAGTTCATTCATGATTTGGCTGCTTGTCTATTGTTGGTGTATAGGAATGCTTGTGATTTTTGCACATTGATTTTGTATCCTGAGACTTTGTTGAAGTTACCTATCAGCTTAAGGAGTTTTGGGGCTGAGACAATGGGGTTTTCTAAATAGAGAATCATGTCATCTGCAAACAGAGACAATTTGACTTCCTGTCTTCCTGTTTGAATACCCTTTACTTCATTTTCTTGCCTGATTGCCCTTGCCAGAACTTCTAGCACTATGTTCATCCTTGGGATGCAAGGCTTGTTCAACATACACAAATCAGTAAAGGTAATCCATCATGTAAACAGAACCAATGACAAAAACCACATGATCATCTCAATAGATGCAGAAAAGGCCTTCGTCAGAATTCAACATCCCTTCATGTTAAAATCTTTCAATAAAGTAGGTATTGATGGAACTTATCTCAAAATAATAAGAGCTATTTATGACAGACCCACAGCCAATGTCATACTGAATGGGCAAAAACTGGCAGCATTCCCATTGAAATCCAGTGCAAGACAAGGATGCCCTCTTTCACCACTCTCATTTATAACATTTTAAATTAGGGCACAGCTTAAGAATTTAACAACTGGGAAGTGGCTAAATTAATTATACATATGAGTTAGAATATTATGCAGCCATTAAAAGACCTGTACATAGGATTAGTAGCATCACACATTAAGTAGTCCTTGCACAGTGTTAATTGGAAAAAAAGCATTATGTCAAGCAAGAGATCACATGTAAAATGTATTCCTAAGTGAGAAAGAAACCTCAGAGAGAAATAAATGTTGTAAATGTTAACAATGATTATATTAGGGTAGTGGGTTTGTTAGTCAAATGATTTTTTAAATATTTTCTGCATTAGCCCTTTTCTACGAGTGAGAGAAAAGCATGTGCTACTTTGGTAAACTTGAAAATTAAATGCTATATTAAAAATGTAGATGAGAAATGGACTCGCTTGGACCATAGTGTAGAGCAGTATTTGTCAGACTTTTGGTTTGGTATCAGGAGCCCTTTGTACTCTTAAAATTATTGAGGACCCCAAATAACTTTTTGTGGTGGATTATATCTATTGGCATTTACCGTTTTAGAAATTAAAAATGATGAAAGACTTCTAAACATTTATTAACTTATTTAAAATAACAACAATATACCCATTACATATTAATATAAATGATGCATTTTATGAAAATAACTGCGTTTACTGAATCAAAACAACTAATTAGAAGAGTGGCATTATTTTTCATTTTTGAGTCTCTTTAATATCTGGCTTTCTCGTGATTGCATGAGAATTCTCATGATTGCATCTGATTTTAATCTGTTGCCATAAATTGGTATGGTTAAAGTATATGAAAAGATCTGGCCTTATGCAGATTTGTAGCTGGAAAAGGAAGAATCTCATAAACTCATCCTCTCTCCCCCAGAAAATAATGTCTTGGGAGCATCTGAGAGTGCTTATGCCCTTCTCTGGAGTACAGGAAGAACTGTAAGTCAGATCTGGGTTTGTGTCTTGAGTGATTTACTCACTACTTGTGTAATTTTTGCATGTTATTTAATCCCTCTTAACTAAATGTTATCTATAAAATGAGGTTTGTGCTGCCCATTTCAGTTGAGAGAATTCAGTGGGGTATTGTTGTGAAAGTCCTTTGCAATTTCAGAACAAAGACTTAGGATCAACAAATGTCATTTTTGCATTATCACCGTTCCATCAACAAAGATCATTTATAGTTTATATATTTGAAACTCTTATGGTCATAAGTGGTAAATAAATAGTATTTTGATTTTGCATATTACTTTTAAGCAAATGAAATGTCTATTTTTTTCCCAGCAGGATATTAGATGTCTTCCTCATTATTCTTTATCTTTCTTTCCCTCCAAATTTGTTCTTCTTTTAGTTCATCCTATTAGATCAATGCTCAAGTTGGAAAATCTTTCTGAGTTTAGGCAGTTTGAAAACCAAGTCAAACCAAGCAACATTGCATTGCTTATTGATTTCTTAGTCTGCTTTGGGCTACTAAAACAAAATACCAGAGACTGGGTAATTTATAATGAACAGAAATTTATTGGCATGGTTCTTGAGGCTGAGAAATCCAAGATCAAGGGGCCAGCATCTGGCAGGGGCCTTCTTGCTGTGTCATCCCATGGCAGAAGGTAGAAGGGCAAGAGAGGGTGACAGAGACAAAACAGGACCAAATGCGTCCTCTTGTGATAAGTAGCACTCTTGTGATAAGTATCACACTCTTGTGATAGGAATCCTCTTGTGATAAGTAGCACTCTTGTGATAAGTAGCACACTCTTGTGATAGGAACCCATGCTTGAGATAAAGACATTAATTCATTCACAAGGGCAGAGCCTTCATGGCTTAATCACCTCTTAAATATCTTAATTCTTAATACTGTTACAATGGCAATTAAATTTCAAGATGAATTTTGGAGGAGACATTCAAACCGTAGCACTGGTTTTGTCCTTTTACCCATTGAAAATACACTTTTAATGTCCAAAAATAGCTTTGAGACTTCATATTGTTCATACTTAAGCAAAAAATTGAATAGGGCTCTTCTCTATTTGTATTGAATCACTCTTTATATGTAGGTAAAATAAGTAATGAGAATGACAACATATTTTATTAATTTATAGAATTTAGAAAACTTATTCATGAATGTTCCTGTAACAATACTTGGAAATATTAAGGGTCTTTTACCATTTCATTATGCAAATAAGGAATTGGGCTCGAAGGACCTATGGGGTCGTCCTCATGTAAAGTGGTTAGTGAGAGGCTTTTAGGACCAAAGCTCATGTTTCCCAAAGACCTACTTCCAGAGAGAATATTCTGTAGAATAGTCCTATGAGAAATGTCACACTTCAGGTTCTTAATGACACAAGGTAAGTTTTTGTTTCCTTTTTTTTAACTTAAAATTACTTTGATTATATTAGGTATTCATTTCCTTTTCTTCAGGATTTGGAATTTAGAACTATATGTTGTCTTTAAAGTAAAGCATTTTACTTTACAGATCTGGTTAACCCTCACAGATTTACATAAATGAGGAACCTACCTGTGTGTATCTTCCACTTCTCTGCTGTGTTGATGCAGGCTGCTGAAAAAGATGACTATTTTGAGATGAACTTGGAAGATAGGTTGAGGTTGTTATGTGAAAAGCAGAATTCAAATCTATGTATGGTTACTGATTCATCCACATTTCTTCTTGAGCTATGTCTTTTGGAAGCAAAGATATGGGTGTGGTTCTACAATAAACAAAACCATGCAGAGTAGTAGAAGTGCTTTTTTTTTTTTCTTACAAGAGTAAAGATGTGGGGATATTATTGATGTCTCTCTGTGCCTCCCTCAAGACACAGCATTCTGAAGAATCCAGTTCAGTAGTTTATTAGCTTAGTAAAATCATAAAAAAATAAAAGTACTCTGAAGTATAATGATAAATATATACATTATCTTGAAATACTGGATAGACCAATAAAAGATGAAAGTATTGTTAAGGTTGAGATTCATTGCAGTTAGCTTTATTTATTTATTTATTTTTTGAGATGGAGTCTTACTCCATCACCCAGGCTGGAGCGCAATCTTGGCTCACTGCAATCTCGGCTCCCTGCAATCTCTGCCTCCCAGGTTCAAGTGATTCTTGTGCCTCAGCCTCCCAAGTAGCTGGGACTACTGGTGCCCCCCACCATCCCTGGCTAATTTTTGTGTTTTTAGTAGAGATGGGGTTTCAACATGTTGGCCAGGCTGGTCGCGAACTCCTGACCTCAGGTGATCTACCCACCTCAGCCTCCCAAAGTGCTGGGATTACAGACTTGAGCCACTGTACCCGGCCTATTGCAGTTAGCTTTTAAAATATTTCCTGGCATTTTTCTTACCTCCTTTACTGTAAATTCAACATGCTTTCCTCTTAGAATTTGAAGATAGGTTTTTAGTCCCTGCTGTTGTAGCTGTCTTAACTCTGCTAGGCTACTAACCAATTTCTTTAAGCCACCTGAGTGGTTTTTTTTGTTGTTGTTTTTTGTTGTTTGTTTGTTTTTTGTTTTTTTTTTTATGGTTTCCCTAATCTCCCTTCAGGCAATCTTTGTTGGAGTGCTATTCATTTTCTGAAGCTCTGCTTAAATCCTATCACATCCAGAACCTCTTTCCAAGTTCCTTGTGACTTCAAGTCCTTTTATCATACGCTGTTCTCCTATTATTGTTCTGTGTGTTTGTATAATAGAACTCATTCCTTTATTATGTGTTAGATATCAGTGATTGCGTCTATTACCACCAAACCACGTAAGCCTTTGGTGGGCCAGGACAATATCCTGTACATATCTGCATTCTCAAAGTAATCTCTCTAACAAATGTGCATTACATTGATTTGCATATAAATCATGTAACTTTTGAAACCAAAACCCCATCTTAAGAAGGATGAGCATATTAGGATGAATAAGTCACATTTGAAACAAGGGTGTGATGACTGATGCTCATGCATTAGGAGCACAGTAACTTCTTAATTCTTCCTGCTATTGATAATTTCAGTGTCCCAAATTATTTGGAGAGTTTTTATCAGATTTATAAAAATGGAGTAGAATACTGAGAAAAATCTAGGAAATTAAGTACATTGTGGTTTCTGGAGTCAACTGCTGGGCTTTAGAAATTGATTACAAGTCATAAATTAATAAAATAACTCTTTTTACAAATAAATGTGTATAAATTATTTTTAAAGTAAATTAACAGGAAGATAAATTGCCGAATGCTCTAAGTATCCCTTGAGTGTGTTAGCTGTGTATTGTATTTATGGATTTTCAAGATTCCTTTCATTCCAAAATTATGGAAGTGAAGATGATGCTGAAAGGGAAGACAAGGCACATTTATAAAATCTCACTCCTCCAATAATATCTTCTGATTGCAGTTATTCCAGAGAAAACAAAAGTAAGTCTCTGTAAAACAACAAAATGAAATCCAGGTGTTCCTCCAAATCTCATGAGATGATATCACTCACATACTTTAAGAAAACATTAAAATAGTACACTCTCCAACTGGTGAATGAAACCTGCTTTAGTATTTACTGTGTATTAAAAATGACCCCCCCTTTTTTGTAGGAAGTGTTCACAGGGCCTTTGGTTTTCTTACCTTTGGGTGTCAAGAAGGACTCAGATTTATGTAGATGCAATAATTTAAGAACATACTCAAAATCAAGTTTATGAATTGCTCTTTCACCAACTTTTTTTTGCATGTATATTTAGTGTATGGATATGTACATGTTTTAATTAATTAGTGCCAAATATTTGGATTGCTGCTGATTTCTAAGCGGTATAATCAATGCATGGGTCCTTGTGATGTTTAGGACACTGAAAAACTTGGTTATATACTGACCATACTTTAATATATAATTAAGACTTCAATTGCTGTGGTCAGAGATTTTCTTAATGCGTATTTGTTATTTATACCAATGTGAACTCATTGATTACTTGAAGATATTTAAATAGAAATTCTAATTCAAATGAAATATATATATATACATGCACACATACATATTTTCCTTTTTACTTAAGAGACAGAGTCTTGTACTGTTACCCAGGCTGGAGTGCAGTGGCATGATCATAGCTCACTGCAACTTCAAACTCCAGGGCTCAAGTGGTCCTCACCATGCCTGGCTAATTTATTTTATTATTATTATTTGTTTTAGAGATGGGGTCTCATTATGTTGCTCAGGCTGGTCTTTAACTCCTGGCCTCAGGTGATTCTCCGGCCTTGGCCTCCCAAGTAACTGGAATTACAGGGGCATCATATATTTTTAAATCAATAATGCCATTTTAGCTTCATAATGTTTATTAAAGTACTTACATACTATAAAGAATTGTAATGGCAGGGATTGTGAGCACAAGCTTCTGTTTTTCAGTATTAATCAAGACTTGATCACTGCTGGCCGTCTCCCATTTGATACATCTCTATCAGGAGAAGAAGAGAGGGATGAATATTTTTATTACTCAGATTTTCTAAAAAAGTATTTTCAAATAATTTGGTATTGAATTCTTCTGGCATGTTGAGGGCTAGTGCAATTATTTCATTCAAATACAGGACACAAAAATACAACAGAAATGGCACTTAAAATGGCAGATTTATATAAAATTCTGTTTTTCTCTCAAGGGCCAATTTATAAAAAAACTCCTTTCTTCTCTCAAAGACAGAAAATTCTATAAATCTGCAAAACAGAATTAATTTCACTGAAGGTGTAGAAGAGATAGTTTTCTCCAATACACAGAAGTCTTTAAAGTATTAAACAAAATACTGATGGACTAAATATGAAAAAAATATATCACTTTGACTTCCCTGCCCTGTGCTGCCCTCTCTATAGCAAGAAAAGACACGTTTCCCAGACCTCTGGTCGCCACATAATTGTCAACTGAACAATGCTAGAACTCAGATCCTGTTGAGATGAATGACTCCTTATTTGTTGAGACACAACTTGAGACTTAGGCCTTTAACTTTTTAAAAGCAGGACGTGGAGCATAGCACACTCATTTCTTATAGGAGGTCTTTGGTGCCATTGCGTTTCTGGACAATTTCCCCTTTGTAGCCTGTGCCTAGTCCTGCCATTTAAAAAGCTTCTCTCAGGGGAAGCCTTGACTCATGGACTCTCAATTTAGCTACAGAGAATTGTCTATTCCAATACAAACAATCATCCATGTCTCAAGATTTATTAGGCTTAAAAAATAACTGATGGATGAATGATTAAGAATGAGGAAATAAATTTTAAAAATGTAAACATAAAAGCTTTAAAGAAAGGAATGAACTGCTTATACGTGCAACAGCATGGATGAATCTTGGAATCAGGCACAAAAAGCTACATATGGTGTGATTTCATTTTCATTTGCCTTTCTAACATTGTAGAAAGGCAAAACTAAAGAAATGGAAAACAGTTCAATGGTGCCAGGGATGGGAATGGAAGAAAGAGATTGACTCCAAATGGTGGAAATTTTTGCAGTGAAGAAAATGTCATATAATGGCAGTCACATTATTGTATACATTGTATACATTTGCTAAAACTTAAAGAACTGTACACCTAAAAAGATGAAATTATGTAAACCACATCTCAATAAACATAATATAAAAGAAGAAAAACACAGCAGAATGAGAGGGTGAGTGGAACATAGTGTGGTACAGGATTAAACTTCCCTCTAGTTAGCCTGGGGTTTTGGTCTTTAAGTAAATTTTAATAGTAACTTTTTTTTTTGAGACAGAGTCTCGCTCCGTTGCCCAGGCTGGAGTGCAGTGGCGCGATCTTGGTTCACTGCAAGCTCCGCCTCCCGGGTTCACACCATTCTCCTGCCTCGGCCTCCTGAGTAGCTGGGACTACAGGCGCCCACCACCACGCCTGGCTAATTTTTTGTTTTTTTAGTAGAGACGGAGTCTCACCATGTTCGCCAGGATGGTCTCGATCTCCTGACTCGTGATCTGCCCGCCTCGGCCTCCCAAAGTGCTGGGATTACAGGCGTGAGCCACCGCGCCCGGCCAATAGTAACATTTTAAACTAATGACACATTATATGTTTTTTAGAAGAAACGCTAACAGTTTCTTATTTTTATTTAACCAGCACTTATGTAATATTACCTCTATGCCAGAAATCGTTCCAAGAGTTTTATAAATTTCAACTCATTTAATACTTACAACAATTACCAATGAGGTAGGTAATATTATTATCCCCATTTTTCAGATGAGGAAATTGAAAAGCAGAAAAGACGTGATGTTTTCATCATGACCCAGGTAGTAAGTGGTGGGGCCAGCATTTAAACTCTGTCTGGCTCATAATCACCACATATCTGCAGACATTTTTGTTGCTATCTTCCTAGTTCATAAAATTTGAATTGCAGTTTAATTATCAAGGTACAGTGGATAGAGTGCTAGGTCTTGAAAACCAATATATGAGGCCATTCATTATATTGTGTGACTTCTGACAAGTCACTTAATATCTCTGAATCTCAATATAAAATGGGAGCAATCATCTGGTGCATATTATTTCACTGAGTTATTGTAAGTCTCAAAGAGTATGTGTGAGCTGGAATAGTGTGTAAAGAGAAGAGTGCTACACAAGCCAAGCTCTCATATTATTTATGATCTTGGCTCACAAGACTCTCCATAATCTCTAAATGTAACGATTGATGCCTTAGGAGACAGCACAATATTCTAAAATGTAAAATGCAAACTTTTCCCAAAATATGACTAAGCTAAAATATAAGTATTCAGATTAAAATGAAAATTCATATCATAAGAATGTTAGAATGAAGGTAAAAATTTCTAATACAAAAAAGGAAATATCTTTAATAATGTCTAAATGTTAAAGATATATTTTCAGCAGAGATTTTCAGATAGAGGTAACATATTTATAAAATTTGGATATAGATAGCATTGATAATTAAATTCATTGGTACATGCATTTGTTTTCCTTGAAATGATATTATTATAATGACATTTTGAGTGAGTCTCCCAATATTGTAATTTTTTTAAAAAGCAGTGATGGAGCTTAAGCTAAGAAAATAAACATCACATAATTTCTTTGAACCTCCTTGTTAAGAGAAAAAACTGTGCAGCCAGGATTTCAAAGCAGGATCTATTAATAGTCATTCCTTGACGTGCAATTTGATGCAAATTAGTTTTTTTATTAGCCTCAATTTCCTTCCTCATCCGTAGAATACGAAAAAAAGTAGCACTTACCCCACCGTGTTGATTTTAGGATTAAATTAGTTAATACATATAAAGTGCTAACACAGTATTTGACATAGTAAGTACTTAATACAGTCTAACCATTATTATTATTGTTCTGGTTATTATTTTCATAGTGGCTTTCAGTGAGAAAAAAGTATATTCACAATATGCAGTCTTTTTCTGTTCAAAAATTATGGTTTGTTGGCTTGATAAAGTGGCTCATGTCTGTAATCCCAGCACTTTGGGAGGCTGAGGCAGGAGGATTGTTTGAGCCCAGGAATTCGAAACCAGCCTGTGCAAGATGGAGAGACCCATCTCTACAAAAATGTTAAAAAAAAATAGCTGATTGTGATGGTGCGTGCCCAAGAGCCTGAGGTGAGAGGATCCCTTGAGCTCAGGAGTTCGAGGATGCAGTAAGCTGTGATCGTGCTACTGCACTCCAGCCTGGGTGAGAGAGCAAGACTACCACTCTTAAGAAAAAAAAAAAAATTATGGTTTGCTATTTCAAAGCATATATGTGCACAGATGCACCTAATCATTTCTATGCGCTCCTGCTCTATTACTAGTTTCTCCTCCTTGCTTAGATATTTCTTTCTCTAGGACAATCATTTTCCTGGTTCTCCGGGATTGACACCTTGGAATCATATTTATTTATGTTCACTGCCACTTGTCTCACGGTCATTCAATCATCATTTTCTATTGATTCCTTATCAAACAATGTATGTTCAGGAAATAGCTATCAAGCAAACAATGACCCAACAATGCCTTTAATCTCAGGAAGGTTTCAATATGATAAGGGAAACAGACAGGTAAATATAGTATGATGTTAATAGAGGTCTACACAGAACATGCTCGTGGGTTTTATGAAGAAGCAGACCCATTTGTCAGGGGAGGCAATGGTTGAGCTTTGCCAGCTGTATCATCCACTCAATCAGCAGAGTGTCTTCCTCAATTTCTCATTTTTTTTCTAGCTCTTTGTAATCCAGCAGAAATGTTATTTTCAAAATACATCCTGAATCTTTCTGCTTCTTTCTATTTCCACTGTCCTTTTTTAGGGCTCCATTATTTCTCATTTGTAGTAAGAGTACTTCTAACTGGTGTCCCTGCTTCTATCTTTGCCTTCGCATAATACGTTTCTTACATGCCATACAGATCTTTTAAAAAATAGCATATTAGGGTCGGGCACACTGGGCTCACGCCTGTAATCCCAGCACTTTGGGAGGCTGAGGCGGGCAGATCAAAAGGTCAGGAGTTTGAGACCAGCCTGGCCAACATGGTGAAACCCCATCTCTACTAAAGATACAATAAATTAGCCAGGCGTAGTGGTGCGTGCCTGTAATCCCAGCTACTTGGGAGGCTGAGGCAGGAGAATCGTTTGAACCCGGGAGGCGGAGGCTGCAGTGAGCCAAGATCATGCCATTGCACTCCAGCCTGGGCGACAGGGCAAGACTCTGTCTCAAAAAAAAAAAAAGTAGCATATTAGAGTATGCCATTTGTTTGTATAACAACGCTTTGTTGATTTCTCATTGCATTTAGGAAAAAAATTTAAATTCTTCCCCATGACCGACAAGGAATTAATGATAAACCTCGTGTCTAATCTTATATCATGCTAGCCATAATGGCTTCCTGCCTACTTTTACACAATCTAAGTTTATTTCTGTCTATGGTACAGAAAGAATAATAGCCCCCAAAGATGCACTCACGTCCTAATCCCTAGAACCTGTGAGTATGTTACCTTACACATCAGAAAGGACTTGGCTGATGTGATTAAAGACTTTGAGATGAGGGAAACTATCCTGGAATATCCAGATGGGACCAATGTAGTCACATGGGTCTGTAAAAGTCCTTTCCAGTTTGTAGTCATGGAAAAATGTGACAACGAAGACATGTCAGGAATATGCTATGTTGCTGGCTTTGCAGATGGAGGAAGGGGCCACAAAACAAGGAATGCAGGTAACTTCTAAAAGTTCAAAAAACAAGGAAATAGATTTTCCCCAAGCACCCCAAAAAGGAATGCAGCCCTGCTAACAGTTTGATTTTATCTCAACGAGATCCATGTCAGATTTCTGACCTTCTGAAATATAAGATATTAGCGTTTTATGCCATAGTCAGTAGTAATTTTTATGGCAGCAATAGAAAACACATACACCAGTCCAGGCCATTCCCACTTGCTGTTTCTTTAGCTTGAAATGTCTTCTTTTCTGTTTTCTGGTGATTTTTTTTTTTTCAAATTTTAGGTCTCAAGTTCACTGTTGCTTCCTTAAAATGCCATCTTTCCCAATGGCACTATTGAAGCATCCCTTCTGCCACCAACTCCTGAGCAACTCTTAAATAACTGACTGTTTATTTCTTTCATGGCATTTAATTGTCTAAGATCACCTTGTTTGTATATTTGCCTACTTGTTTATTGCTGTTTTTCCACTCAAGGTTGTAAGCTGTGTGGAATCAGGGACCTTGTCTGTGTTGTTCACAGCTATGTATCCTTAGTGCCTTCATTAGAACCTGACAAATAATAGACCCTCAATAAATATTTGTTAAATGAGGGAATAAATTAGACCAGGGAAGTGGTTATTTCAGGCAAAGGTCAGAGCCTGAGTAAAATTATGAGGTGTGAAACTGCTTTATGTGTCTGGGAAAATCTGTTTCCTCCGGATAAAACAACAAGAGGAAAGCAGAAGACTGGAACCAAGAAATAGGCATGCATTATTATTATTATCTTAAACTCATGTTATTATATTTTGTAGGTAACTGGGAGTCAGCTTTCTTAGAAAGAGGGGTAATTGAATGAAAGAATGCATAACAAAATCAAGAGGACTTTGGGAGTAATAGGATGCAGGTTGAGGGAAAATGAAGAGTATCCTTCCCTATTTCAGATCTTTGGGACTAAGATGGTGGTGGTAGTGTTAATTGGTATAAAGAACAATTGCAGATAATAGTTTCATTTTGGATTCTGAGTTTTATGCTTCTCCAGTGGGAGATGTTTAATTGAGGCACTTGAAAAATATAGGTCTGTAGCTCAGGAGGAAGGCCTTGACTAGGAGTAATTAACATGTAAACAGAAATAAAGTCAAGGGATTTAATTTAATAGTTAATATACCCCAAGTCAATGGGCAACAAGGGAAAAAAGCTGATAGTGCAAGATTGGAGAGCATAGATGACTTTCTGAGAGGAATTAGAAAAGGAAGTTTGACTAGCAAAGCAGGAGGCATAAAAGGAGTATGTGAGACCAGGGAAGCCATGAATGGAAAGAGTTTCAGTATTAAGGGAGTAATCAGAATGTCAACTGTTAGGAGGGGAAAGAAGAAAGATCTTTGGGTTTATCAACAAAGGGATGTTGGTGTCTCTGCCAGTGCAATCTAAACTAGAGTGCTAGAAATAAGATCCTGATATGGGGATGGAGGATTACTGAAAGAAGAAGGAATGGAAGGGAAAAAGAGACCACAGAAGATGTGGGGTTAAGGGAAACCTCCCCTTCTTTTTTTATTTTCAAGATTGACTATTAGTGAGGAGCAGCTTTACAGGCTGTAGGAAAGGTACTAGCAGAAGAAGAAAGGTGGAAGGTAGAGAAGAGAGAAGGAGACACTGACAGAGTAACATCTGCAAGGAGATTTGAAGAAATGGGATAAGGAGTGCAGAGGGAGGGATCATCCCTGAAAGGGCGCTGAGACAATTTTTCTTATAAGCCAGAGCATATAAATATGTGTGTCATGCATCAAGCTCAGCAGAAGTTCGGAGAAAGGGAAGATTATAAAATGAGATTAGGTAAGTAAGGCATTATCACTTTTCTTGGTGGAAGAAATACAAGAACCTTTGATTTTTATTATTTGTTTTTCTGTTATTCTTCCTGAATATTTAGCAAGGTGGTTTACAAGTCCTGATTTTCTCATATATTCCAGAAAGAAGTAGCTGAAGGGTGATTTTTGGTGCTTACTCAGCCCATTCATTAATTGGAAATAGGCTCCTCCTGGGGACAGTGTGGTGGTAATAGAAGTTTGAGTGTCAAGTAGGTCTAAAAAGAGCTAAAAAGGGGTGAGAACATTCACTCTGGAGTCAGACATCACTGAAGTGGAACCCTAGATTTATTGCTTATTAGGTGAGCAAACTTGAGCAAGTAAACATCTTTGAACCGTAATCGCCTATATATGATTTGAGAAAAATAATAAGTACCTTTCAGGGTTGCTGTGAGAATTGGAAAATATTCACCCACTAGCACATATTATTACAAAACATACACTGTTAGGATAGGCTTCACTGGAATTGGGACAGATTTCTGAGTACCCCACTGCAGCAGTGAGGTCTATAATCAGTTCTTTAAGGACTAAGAAATGGCATTGTCCTCTATTCTGAATTCAACCACATATATTAAACAGATATTCCTGGTCAATACCTGTGTATATTTTAGTCTTTTCCAAATTGTAATGTGGGACCCTAAAACCAGACATAGAGAAAAAGCCCAAGTTGCAAAATACTTTGCTATTTATGACTTGATTGCAATAAGATTTCAAGAGTTCACAAGGACAATATGGAATATTTACTTATCTCAGGTCTTCTGACAAATATTTGCTATGCTTCTGTCATACCATGAGCTTTCAGTAGGGTGGGAAGAGGAGATTGAAACTGGTGGCAACCATGAGAGACTGCATGGTGGTTTTAACCTTTCTTATATAAGCCATGTTTATAGTTAAATTTAAAACAACTTTATTAACAAACAGATAACAGATACTAAACTACTGATCTGAGCAGCCACTGAGTGTTCCATACACTGACTCTGCTACAAGTCCTGCAATCTTGCCTAATCATTGTTTTATCTCCAGCATAGGATCTGAGAGTTGTAGATTCTCCATAAATGTCTGCCGTCTTGCACTTCAGTAAAAATGCTGCACAAGGTGCCTGAAAATTGTGCCAGCCCTTCGGTATCAGGGTGGTATTGGTCTAAAATTGCCTCATGGTAGAATAGGACTGGCAAGCTCAGAGAAAGGTTAATTCCTCCCCCCCACATTTACTTATCTTCCTGTTATCTTTGAATATATAGTCAGATGGATTTCAAGTCCTAGCCTCTCTAAGATATTCTAGAAAGAATTAACTGAAAGGTGATTTTTGGTCCTTACTTAGCCCATTCATTAAGTGGAAGGGCACCCCTGAGAACAGTGTGGTGGTGACAGAAGTCATTGAAATGGGACATGTCTAAATGAAAAGATAAACTGAGAGGTACAGGGTTAGAAGCTGGAAACAACCGGGAAAATTGACCTCCACTGGAATATTTATCCAGAGTCTAGTTCCAAAGCTAAAATGCAAAGGTTCTTGGATTTCTTCTATTAAGAACAGTAATAATGTCTTGCTTGCCTAATCTCATTTGATAATTTCTCCTTTCTCCGGGCTTAATGCATCCCTCACATATTTATATGCTCTGGCTTATATATCTTTATTTCTTGTAAATTTAGTTTCTCAACACCTACATATGTTCCTTGAAGGTGATGGGTATGTCTTTTATTTCTTTTATGTCATCCTTTCTGCCCAGTGCTTAGCACAGTGCAAGGCACCTGTTGCCCAATAATTATAAACAATTGACTCACTTGTATTGTATAGAACATCCATCCTGATTCTAGGGAGACTCAAGGTGGCAAATACATTAGATTGTATAGAACTCTCTGAGGTCATTAAGATCTTGGCAAGTGTGAGGGTGGCACAAAAGTTCATCGATAATTTTCCTTAAAATGCATGTTCAACTGGGGCTATCATATTCCCTGCAAAGCTGGCTTAAAGCTAATAATACCACCATCTGCTTTTATGTAGCTCTTTGCAATTTGGAGCTTCATTAATAATACATTACTCATTTTAGTGTCACTAAACCCTGTACACTGGTCAGGGTAAAGCCCTTTTCTCAAATGAGAAAATTGGAGTGCACAGAGATAAAGGACTATATGCACATTTACAAAATTATTGAGTGGCAGAACCACTCACAAAAGGCAGAAGCAAGCCTTTTTTCATCCAAAGGTAGAGTACTTCCCATTCCTCTGCACTGCTTAGTAGACTATTTTTCAACATGGTAAAACTCTCTGGGACAAGAGGAACCTGAAGATGTGGCCCCTTAACAAGAGATGTGGAGAAATTAGGAAAGGACATGCTTTCTTAATTCAAATTACAATGTATCACAAATTCATTTATCCAAAATGGTTTTCTAACCTGGACTTTACCTGGGCAACATTCTAATAATCTCCTTCCAGAGTATGGGAAAAGAAACCGAATCTGAGAAGGGGATAAGAATACTCCCTATTCAGTCAAAAGAAAGGGTTAAAATGTGATTGTTTAAAGATTTAAGGTGGAGAAGAGAGTCTTGAATTATCTAAATGTAAAAAAACTAGGGTAAAAGGCTGGATTTCCTTCGGAATGTCTTTTTCAGCTTATAGGGGAAAAGTTAAAGGGTGTGTGTCTGGGGGGAAGGGTTAGGGAGGGGAAAATAGAACCCTTTTCTTCTAACAGCCTTTCTTAAAAAATAAAAGAAAAGAGAAACAAATGTTTGTTTCTGTTATTAAGCCCCATCTATGCTTAAAAGTTAAATGAAATAGGGAAAGTTCAGGCACAGAGACGCGTGTTCTGATTTGGTTGTTTACCATCAATCAGACCGTTGCTTGGCAGACACTGGATGGTTATGAGCCTGAACAAGCTGAAAAGGGGCAGGAAAAGAAGTGGAGGCAGCATTCTTCCTATTTAAAGCTGCATCGCTTGAAAAAAGTTTTCGCAGACTGTGCTGGAGCTGGTGCTGAAAAAGGGGGTTTGCAGAGGCTGCCCTGGGGCTGGTGCTGAAAGAAGAGCCCACAGCTGACTTCATGGTGCTACAATAACCTCAGAATCTACTTTTCACTCTCAGGAGAACCCACATGTCTAATATTTAGACATGATGGCAAACTGGGCGGAAGCAAGACCTCTCCTCATTCTTATTGTTTTATTAGGGCAATTTGTCTCAATAAAAGCCCAGGAAGAAGACGAGGATGGTGAGTTTGCCATTTGCTTTGCTTGTAGTGTTTATTGCACGGTTTGGGAAATAGGTGGAATGTTAAGCCTCAGGAAGAGCGTGAAGAGGAGGTTCTGGTTTGAAGTTTGAGAAGGGGGCTGACGGATTTGCACCTGGAAAACGACTTGAAAGACAATTGGGATGTTTGTAAATCCGGAGCTTCTAGATCCACCGTTGGAGAGAGTACACTACTAAATTTTTCTGGGAAAGCCTACAATAAGTCCTTTTGGCTGAGTGTGAGAGTGGGACGTTTAAAATAAGAAAAGAGTGAATGCTTAAAACGGAGCACTAAAGGCATTTTAGTTAGAGGAGCTCTGTTCTGTGGGCTGGAGTTTTCAGAGCAAGGAAAAGTCGCGGCAGAAGCTGGGTAGGGTGGAGTCTTTTTGTACTGAACTTCAGCTGCTTCATAAAATTCTTTGTTTAGTAAAACCTCTGCAGCAACTCTGATAGCTTTGATTTTTCTTTGTCTTTGGCTCCTCATTCTTTCCTCTTTAACAATTTAAACTTCTTTTTACCATTTTCATTTGTGAAAATGTGATCACTTTTGCTTACTGGGAGGCAGTCTCGTTTGTTTCTCCATGACAGAGGCTGATAGAAGCCAGATTTCTTAAACAGTGGTATTTTCCCACCCTACTGGCTTGATTAACAGGACAGTGGTGGTTCCCGGTTGGATGGCGGAAGGCAGGAAATCAGCATGTCTTGTATATATCTTATTTGGCATGGAATATTTGCATGGACATTACCCCTTAGACCCAAGCTTTTTTTTTTTTTTTTTTTTAAAGATAAATCTTGCCTGGTGACCACATTTTTTTCCTATGCAATTTTCATATGTTACAGTTGGGTTATATGGTATGGTTAAGCAAAAATGCATAGCTGTTGTAGTATATAAGAAAATATTTAAATTGATTCCTCTATTAAATCTTTAATCTTGAGGGTTGCAATTTCAAATACAGACATGTACTCCTTTAAAATAAGCCACTGTAGATTTTCATCAACTCAACCATGTAACATCAAACTCAAGCTTTTAAAACTTTGGACATTCATTAACCTTTTCTATTACTTTCATATATAGACACATACATACAGGTATATATGTATATATACTATGTATATATCTATATTTTTAGAACAAATATCTGCTTCTGTGTGTTTTTGGTTTCAAAAAGTTTATAAAATTAATCTAGAGATCAGAAGTTCTAAAAAGCTTAAAAAGTGAAAATACGAATTTGTAAATGAATATCCAACAATCTGTCAGGAGTCCCATAGAGGGGGCACTTTCTAAGACTTGGAGCTTTTTATGTTACGTTTTATGTTTTTAAAATATGAGGTAATTTATAAAAGGTGAAAACTTTTGAGTTTCTTTGTAATGGCATGAAAAGCATGTGTTGTTTGGAAGGGTGGCAAAAATAATTGAATAGAAAGTAGAAGAAAACAGGAGGAGAAAAACACAGAAAAATTACAATAGAAATTGAAAATTTGACTCTAGAAAGAACAGTTTACTCCCCTCCCCCACCAAAACAACCAACTTTAATTTAAAACCTTTAATACCACTTTCTTTGTTAATTTATGTTAAAATGAATAAAGTACTTTAATAAAGTATGGAAATAATTGAATATGTGAATAAATGAAAGGACTGTTTCACAAGGTACATGAAATAAGCCATATTTTAAAAGACATTCCCAAATAGTTATAATTACTCTGTAGGTGTTTTTGAAAAATGAGCAGATAATTTTTCTTAATAGTAATTGACATAAATGTAAGGAATGTGATGCTTGATGCAAAAAAGTCCCCAACTCCAATCCAACCCCAGTACCCCCCGCGAACAGTATAACCAAATAGCACAGAAAATGGAATTCCAAACATCAAATTTTACAGAATGTGTAATTGCTTGCATATGTGTTGTAAAAAATTCCAGTATTTTATTTCTCAACTTAAGAGAATATAAGTGATAAAAATTCAACAGCAAAAGAAAGTCGTCATTGCCCTAATCAAACATAATAGAGAAAATAATTCCAGAGTATAGTATATTCAGAGCTGCTTAACTTATATTGTACTTACTTACTATGCATATTTTGGTTTAAGTTGATATTGTATGGATACTTGGCAATACTTTCTTTTTCCTGTTCAGGCCTATCACAAGCTTAATAAAGGTGTCATAATTTAGAAACTCCATTTGATTTTGAGTTTGGGGAAGAGTAAGCTTAGATCGATGCTTTAAATTAAAGAAATATCTGAGGCACACATGAAAAGCAAGTACATTTTTCAAATTTTATCTATAACAGTCACATAATGTGATATTTACATTTTGTACAAATATGTCTTCTTGGAAATGTGGAGATCTGTTTTTGCATGTAAGTGCATATTAATAAGTTTTTATTTTTTTCTTTCTTTTTATGACTTCAGGGTATATTTCCCTTTACTTGACTGTGGTTATTTACCAGAAATGTAAAATGTAATCTGAGTATGCCTGCCTGATAGAAACATATGAATGAGAAGATAAAAGTAAATAAATAAAGTTTTAGGCATTTTAAGCCAAAATCAGTTCCATTCTCACTGAGTTTTAAGAACTGATTTGATTTTCTAAATTTATAAGAAACTGAAAGGAGAAAGTTTGGGAGTTGGGCTGACTTTAGTTAAAACTAACGTAACAAAAATTAGGGAGTTAAAATGAAAAAAATCAGCTTTTAAAGAGTTTGTGTGGGTGTATGTGTGTGTGTGAAAAATCAGGGAGTTAAAATGACAAAATCAGCTTTTAAAGAGTGTGTGTGCGTGTGTGTGTGCGTGTGGTGAGAGTGTGTGTGCATTGGGGTGGTGGTCTTCAAAAGATTCCACATTTGTGTTAAGGAAAATGCTAGAGCATTTACAGTGTATTTATATTCCTAAGTTAATGCCTAGCATCTAGTGAGCTATATATATTCTTGTTATTAGAAGTAGGCATGCTTAATTTTAGAAAATAATCTTTGTTATGAATCATTGTATTCAACATGGGATAAGCAATGGAGAAGGGAAGGTGCAGAAATGTATCATTTTGTTTCCAAATACTGTAAACCTCAATGCTTTCAGAGGCCAGGCAGGTAATATAAACAAGTGAAGCAAGCCAGTGTTTGTACATCAATAGGTGATGATGGGGCCTGTGGAGAACTGAAGGTGCATGTCCACTTTAAGGCATTCAGAATTAACATTTTCAGAAGATATTGCATATGACAAATAAAATATATCTGAGTATATATTTGGCTCCCGGCCCATGAATTTACAGCCATCATGTTGCAATCCTACACTGATATCCTCCTGGACCCAAGCTAACTTTTGATTACTGAGAGATGAGGGGCTCACAGTCTTATATGTCATGGTCTCTTGCATTTTTATGATATGTCTGCCATTTATCTCATTGTTACGATACAAAAATCAGGAAGCAGATATTTAACACTCAGTAGTATTTGGATGACATCATTTTAAAGGAGGTACAGAATATGTATAAATATGTATACATAGCTTAAGATGCATGTTAACTCATAAATTGTTTTAAACTCATTACTGTTGAAATACATGCTATGAAACATGTAGGACATTCAGACTTTTATAGTGGGTACATGTAGCAGAACACAGTAGTTTAAACAAACAAAAAAAGGTTTTCTGGCCAGGCGCAGTGGCTCATGCCTGTAATCCCAGCACTTTGGGAGGCCGAGGTGGGCGGATCACCTGAGGTCAGGAGTTCGAGACCAGCCCGGCCAATATGGCAAAACTCCGTCCCTACCCAAAATACAAAAATTAGGTAGGCGTGGTGGCACAAAAATTAGGTAGGCGTGGTCCCAGCTACTCAGGAGACTGAGGCACGAGAGTTGCTAGAACCCGGGAGGCGGAGGTTGCAGTGAGCTGAGACCGTGCCACTGCACTCCAGTCTGGGTGACAGAGTGAGACTCTGTCTAAAAAAAAAAAAAAAAAAGTTTTCTTTTTTAAATATAAAGAAATGCTTTTAAGCAGGTAGTGAAAGGCTGGCATATTGGCTCCACAAAGTCATCAGGGACTGAGGTTTTTTCTACCTCTCCTGGCTCCCATATCTCTAGGTATTTTTTTTTAAATTTATTTTTATGGTCCTAAATGGCTGCTGAAGCTCCAGCCATTGCGTGTACTTTCTAGGCATGTGGATAGAGGATGGAAAACAAAAACTGTGAGCCATTCCCCACCCTGCCCCCTTTTATGAAGACTTTAAAGTCTTCATAACATTTAAACTTACTTACAGTTGGCCGGAATTTAGTCATATGGTCACACAAAACTTCAAGAGGGGCTAGGAAATGTAGCCCTTACCTGGGTGGTGCTGGCAATATACTCTACTGAATTGAGTTCTGCTATGAAGGATAAAAGGAAGCACCACTATTAGGAGTTTTATGGTCCCTACCTCAGTGAGCAAAAAGGTCAGCTACTTTTAGTGGCCTAGATCTTACGGTTTCAATGGACAAAATATAGTTGTGTGACTAGATCCACTTTGGTTATTGTTCATTACTGAGTAGACTGTGAAGCCAAGAAGACTGAATGGCACATAAATATTAGGCTACATTTTCTTTGCTTCTTGTCTTTAGATAAATTTTGACACCTATAACTTCTATTCAAACTAAACTGAAGCTTTAGTTTGAAGAGTATATCTCTTTCTACATATGTACATTGGTAGATTCATAGATTTAGTGAATTTTTAATATTGACTAACACAATGTATACTTGGACCATGACTCGTAGGGTCATTGGTAAGCAAGCCACAGATCAGTGTTGATAAAAAATGGTATAAAGAATCACCTAAGATCTTGTGACTAATATAGATTCTAGACCCCTCTACTTTCCAAATATCTAGGAAGTTTGGATGGGGTCTGGGCATCTGTATGTTTTTAGAGCTCTCCAGTTGACTCTGATTTACATTGGTGAACCACTGTATTAAATCTTTGACTGACACTCTGAATCTTGTTGTGGACCTGTTGGCTTTTATGTTCCGAGGCTACACATTAAGATTTTGGTAATAACTTGCTATTCTAGTTATTCATTTTACTTATAAGGCTGCTTAGTTGAAGTTTGTAGGTAAACCATTGCAAAGTCACCATCACTTCTGGAAAAATAACTCAAGGCCCAAATACCCCTCATGGTGGATTAGGCGAATCATTCTACTATGCAGAAGACACATGCCATTTGCATGTGTTTCCAGGTGAATGCATGTTTTTCATTTTCAATATTTCCTCTCTCTTACTTTCTGCTCTTCACACTTTGAGCACTATCGCTACAGGCCTGAAATTCATTGTGTTCATCATTCTAGACAGGTACCTAATGCAGGATGTGAGGCAAAAGCAGAAAGAGGAAGCTTTGTTTTAAGAAGCTGGAAATTAGAAGATTGGAATCGTGTTAATCTATGGCCACAGAATGTAGTTTTTAAAAATCATACAGTTTTCTCTGGTTTGAAGAATGATTAATGCATCATCACCTGGCCTTACATGGCATTCTTAAAATGTATGGACATGGATCAACTGATCTTTAATCGGATTTTCTTCTCTGAGATCACAACATTGAAAAGCTTAGATTTATACATTAGAGATATAGTAAGGGTGGGGGAAAAGACTGGAAGTGTTGATTATTAATTGATCTATTGTATAAATTTGGGCAAGTTACACAAGTTTATATAAGACAAATCTTGGAATTATATAAAGATATTCCTTGATTTAATATTTTTTATTATTTATATCCATGAAACTATAATTTTCACTAAAAATGTAGCACGAGACAGTATCAACTTACTGATAAATATGAAGTCTTTGAACTTTTCTTATATCTAAAAGTCACAGCTTGAGTAGGCTTTTGGAGTCTGAATGAAATTATCAGGAAGATACTGATAATCTAGTTTTCTTAAATTTATCTCCATATAAAGTTCATATATATTTATCTAAATTTTACGTAAGATGAATGAGCTGTGATATTCAATATTTAAAAGACTATTTACTCTTGGCATTTGCATGGGAAGTACTCTATCCTATGGAAAATTTTGCTTTAAAGGTGTGACCATATTGGCAACCTTAAGGTTTTTATTTCATTTTATCAATGTTTTAAAAACTAAACCCTTCAAATAAATCAAGGTGGCTTCATCTTATACTAAAATATTCACTAAGAAACAATGTATAAGGGAAATTACAATAAAGCAAGATTATTCCTATCTAAATCTTGCCTTCTACAGAGAAGATAGAGGCTGGGTGTGTGGCTCACTCCTGTAATCTCAGCAGTTTGGGAGGCTGAGGTGGGCGGATCACCTGAGGTCAGGATTTTGAGACCAGCCTGGCCATCATGGTGAAACCCTGTCTCTACTAAAAATACAAAAAAATTTATCTGGGTATGGTGGTGGGCACTTGTAATTCAAGCTACTCGGGAGGCTGAGGCAGGAGAATCGCTTGAACCTGGGAGGGGGAGGCTGCAGTGAGCAGAGATCATGCCACTGCACTCCAGCCTAGGCAACAAAACGAGACTCCGTCTCAAAAAAAAAAAAAAAAAAAAGAAGAGGAAAAATGTTAACAATATTAATTAATATTAATTAATTAATCAAACTTTGTTCCTATAGCCTTCTGGTGTTATGTTCAAACTCAAAAATGTTTACATGCTTTTTTTTTTTAAGTTTAGGATTAAGAAGGAGGAAAGACAGTCTCACAGTTTTGTACCCCTTTTTACCTTTTATTTGAGATGCCCAATCAGAATTGTGAATTCAGCTTTAAGATGACAGCAAACTATATTATTGGTGGAAACACTACTTGCAACGTAAGCATCATAGCCTCGTTGTAGTCTATGTAGTATAACAAGTATAATAAAGCTTGGTCCAGCCATCATGTGAGAGAACAGCTGGGTTCTGGTCCTCGTTCTATTTAGCAGTTTTGCTACCTGCAGAGGGTCCTTAACCTCACTGGGAATTTGTGTCCTCATCTGAAATATTGAGGAAATAGTATGCACCTTTGTCATCTGATGGGATTCTTAGGAGGACCATTTAAGAAATTTACTTAAAAGTAATTTTAGAGTACTTAAATGAGACACGGAAAGTGACATTACAATCTACTTCACTGACCACAGATATAAACCCTAGTGGTGTATTTTTAAATTGCTTTCACCAAATCTTTGAATTGTTTTGAAGCACCTCCTGGACTTGTTCTTTTGTGTTTTATTTGTTCTCCATCTCCCTGAGGAACTTGTTCCATCAGTCATGCTCTCTTTTCTATAACTTCAGCCACTTCCTTTCTATCTGCTCTTTCCCTTTAGCTTGTAAACAAGTTCAGCTCTCTCCCACAGCCTGTGTCTAGCTCCCACCCAGTCTTTATTCTTAGCCCAGCTGCTTTAAAAGGAGCAGTGCAGTTTTCTGTCTCTGCCTCCTATGCCCTCACTTGGCCTCTCTTTCCACTTAAGCTGGTCTAGCATGGTGAGGATTAAAATGTGTGATATTCCAAGGGTCCCTTTTCATCTTATCTTATCAGGCCTTTCTCCTTTATTGGAGACCATTGACCACTCCAGCTTTCCTAAAATGCTACTCTCTGAAGGTTCTTCCTCCACCTCCCTGACCTTTCCCTCTCAGCTTCATCCATGGGCTCCTTCTTCTCTTTTCCTGTAGCATTTTGCTTTTCTTACAAGATTTAGTTCATTGGTTCTCTCTGGATATTCTCTTCCTAGGCCACCTAGAATTAAGGGTTTTGTTTAACAGCTGAATGCTGATAATTATAACATCTCTTCAACCCCAATCTTTCACATGAACTTTAGATAAATAAATATATTCAGCTGTCCCAAAGGCAGCCTAGAACCACATGAAATTCAGTGTATCCAAAACTTAATTTATTGGCTTCCCTTCAAGACTTGGTCATTTTGCTTATGTAGTCCCCCTTATGCCAGTTAATGGCAACATGATGCTACCCGGTCATTCAGTCAGTCATTCAATCAGCACAATTCCAATCGTTCACTAAGATCTACCATTTTACCTGCTAAATGTTTCTCAAGTGTACCTCTTCTCCATCCCTACTACAAATGCCTCAGTTTAGGCCCTCATCATCTATCCCTCAGTTACTGTGATAGCATCTAAATTCATCTCCTTGCCTCTCATGTATCTGCTTTCCAACAAACACATATATTGGTGCCTTCTGTTGCTAGTGTGATATAAAACTATCTAATTTTGTATTTACCTTCCTTAACAACTTTCATTGGGTCCTGTAACTTGTAGAAAGAATAAGGTTCAAGCTTCTTAGTGTGACATACAAGATCCTGCTGATCTAGCCCATTTCTGAGTTTTAGTCGCATCAACTGTCATTCTCAGCCTCAAAATAAGGAATTGCTTGAGGCTGCCACCCCCAACACACACAGACACACACAAACTCTCTCTCTCACTCTCTCTCTATCCCCTTTCATTCTCTACTGTCCAGATTCCACCCAGAACTGACATTCTCTCATTAGTTGAGCTAAGTGCTCCTCTGGCCATCTCACAACAGTCAGTACACCTCTGCCATGCAGGAACAATACCATACTGAGAATGCTTTCTTTCCATGAATCCGTTTTACACATTCCCACCAGATTAGGCTAAGTCCCACTTTTATAATGTCACTCTCCAGTGACATTATAATTTATTAACATTATTTATTAATTATTAATATAATTTATTAACATTAACAATTTATTCCAAGCTGCCATTGACTGTTGCATCACACTTAACACATTATACTGACCTTACTTCTGTGTGACTTTTTTTTTTACCTAAGAGTGCCAAGAGTATCCAGCTGCCTTGCAAGACTGCTCATGTTCTCCTCCACTGTATCTAAACAAATACTATGATTTCCATTATTGTCCTTAACACTACTGATTGCAGCACACCATGCAGCATCCTTTCTCACTTCAGATCTAACTTTTTACTGTTCCCACATCTAACTTTTGCGATTTAGGTACTTCAGTGCTTCTCTTTTTATCTTCCCTCTGCCTATTGATGTTTTCCTCCAAGTTCTGCTTCAAATCTTATATCCTCTAAGAAACTAAGAGATTCTTATCTGCAATAAATATCCCCTTTCCTTTCAAGGGATGGTCCTTATGTTGCAAGTGTGTTTGTGCTAACCAAGAATAAGTTTCCTGGGAGATAGGGACTATGTCATGAAGTCATTTTATATTTTAGATCCACCCATGCATAAATGCCAATTGAGTACTATTTGTGAAAATCTAGAAAAATTTTTTCCACAATTCGTTCACTCAAGTATGAGTGATCCGAATTCAAATTTAGGTTTTGGAAATTGTATTTCCATATTCTCGGGCAATTTTTTTTATTTCTCTGTGTTACAGTTTCTTCATCTATCAAATTGGAATGATACTTCAAATAATTATGATGAATACTATCTATCTATCTAACACCTACATGATAGCAGTGACTCCCAACTAATAATAGGAACTCATTAATATGGCAGATGATTATTATTAGATTACTATTTAATAATAACAGGCCAGGTGTGGTGGCTCACGCCTGTAATCCCAGCACTTTCAGAGGCCGAGCTGGGTAGATCACCTGAGGTCAGGAGTTTGAGAACAGCCTGACCAACATGGTGAAAACCCATCTCTGCTAAAAATACAAAATTAGCTGGGCATGGTGGCACATGCCTGTAATCCCAGCTCCCAGCTACTCGGGAAGCTGAGGCAGGAGAATTGCTTGAACCCGGGAGGCGAGGTTGCAGTGAGCTGAGATCGCGCCATTGCGCTCCAGCCTGGGCAACAAGAGCAAAAATCCGTCTCAAAAAAATTATTATTTAATAATAATAGAGATAATAAATGCTTATTGGGTGATTATGAGAACCAAGATGTTAGATATTACAGAGAAATAAAGAAACAACTTTTGCTCTCAGAGAGATTAAGCCTAGCATAAAAATTTTAAAATGCAATTTTTATATTTTATTCTACTATGATCATTTTGGTAATATATCAGTGATTTTATCTGTGTGTTAATAAGCTTTTAAAACCCATTTAAAATTTTTACTGTTCAAATAAAAAGGCCATATTGTATTATTTCCTTTTGTAGGTTTACTAATACAAAAAAAGAAAGAAAGAAAAACAAAAGGCATTTCCCAATGGAGAGTTTCTAATGGCCCCATGATCTGAAGCATCACTGCCCCTCCCCTGTTTCGCAGCCCCACATACATTTACTTTGTGCTGGTTCCCAGTGTGTGAGCAAGCCAAGCATGATCCACTCCATGCCCCAGTGCCACCTCATGCCTGTCTACCATCCCTGTCTGCTTCAGAGTTTAGTTTGTGAAACTATGATAATCATAGAAGTCTCTATTAAAAACTGGAAACCTGTTTTCCACTCTGCATTGCTCTGAGTTGCATTTGGAATGAGAGGCATTGCTTCACTGCACAGGGATTTACAAAGCAGCTCCCAGGACTATTCGGATACAGTAGTAGGGGTGACCATCTTTTCCCAGACTCTGTAGCAAGTCTCTTCACTTTCCAAAAGCTGTTAATTTACCTCACTCCCTTCACTCCCAGGAGATTTTTATGAAATTGACTCCAGAAAGCAGAAACTGGTGTGGGATATTGGCACATTTTTCATACTCACACTTTCCTTACTTTGCTGCACTGTTCTTTCTTTGTAGGTTTTCAAATTCATAATAAAAAATGATGGGTTTAACTTGGAAGGAGAGATGCAGGTGGAATTTTACCAGATAATTTGTAGCTATGAAATTCTTTAATTAAATTTTTGATATTCAATATGGTTGTTCTGTGGTCATCAACTTTAAATTTTTTTTATTATGGAATTCTGAAAATATGGATGGTTCCCATAGCAAATACAATTTATTTATAGAGATTTAATATTTTCATTTAGCTTTCATAGTAATAGGCTTATTTGCTCTTGAGGTAGAAGAACCTCTCAGATTCATTTATGCTAGTTTGGAAGTATTTTAAAGCTTTTTTTTTCTCATTCTTTCGTTCTCAGATTTTTATATTAAATAAATGGAAAGTTACAGTTTAATTCAGGGCACTATGGTTTTCATGTTGTGATGAAGTTTCAGCCAGAATTTTTGGTGAAGTGGATTGGACAGTGAGGTTAACTGACTACCATGGAAAGATTAACTGCAAAGTTCCTAGTTTTCTGATCTTTGGCTACAAACATAAAACTTCTGAGGTTTCAGCAAAAAGGGCTATATTTGCTTTGAGAGGACAGAGGGCACTGACCATTCCATGTTAAGCGAGAGATTCTGTTGTAAGAATTAAAAAAAAAAAAAAAAACCCGGGCACAGTGGCTCACGCCTATAATCCCAGCACTTTGGGAGGCCAAGACGGGCGGATCACGAAGTCAGAAGATCGACACCATCCTGGCTAACACAGTGAAACCCCCGTCTCTACTAAAAATACAAAAAATTTAGCCAGGCGTGGTGGTGGGCGCCTGTAGTCCCAGCTACTCGGGAGGCTGAGGCAGGAGAATGGTGTGAACCTGGGAGGCGGAGCTTGCGGTGAGCCGAGATGGCGCCACTGCACTCCAGCCTGGGTGACAGCGAGAGTCCGTCTCAAAAAAAAAAAAATAGGAGTTTGTACTGGGAAAAAAGAGACTTGAGGCTGATGAATGAAGAGCAACTGCAAATTCTATCAGGGAGCTGGTGTTCAAGCCTTTAAGGTGCTACAGTGTTATGCCCTTCTAGGTGTTATTTTGTGAAACTATGATAGTCATAGAAGTCTCTATTAAAAACTGGAAACCTGTTTTCCACTCTGCATTGCTCTGGGTTGCATTTGGAATGAGAGGCATTGCTTCACTGCACAGGGATTTACAAAGCAGCTCCCAGGACTAAAAAAAAAAAAAAAAAATCACTTCTTTCTTCAATCCTTCCCTATTTTTCCTTAAGTTTTGATAATTGTTGATGAGATTAGGCAAGTTTTTTATTTGTGGCTTTTGTTGTTCTCTCTTAAGCATAGTGTAGCTGAACTGAATTTTGCTTAGACACAACTCATAGGTTTATAAACCAATGGAGTTCTCATTAGCCTAGAAATATTTCCTTATACAGTACTTAGAATCATTTTTGTTTGTTTGTTTTAAAAAATGGAGTGGGGGAGTGTATTCTGTTATGTAAAGGATGACAACAAATTGAATTAGAATTAGTTCTATAAAGATAAATCAGTGAATAGGCTCTAAGTTTCACTGTGGGTGTTTGTGTTGGGGCATAGGAAGGATGACATAATAAAATAGAATTGGTAAGTTTTAGTATATTCAGCATATAAATACATCTTGTAAAGTTGCCAAGTGTCCCGCTCACCTGAGCTACCTTGTGCCTCTTGACTTTCCTTGGGTGCAACATTTGCTAAAGTCCTAGGAGTAAGAGCAGGTCCAGTTCTAAGAAAAAAATTTTGAATACCTGGCTTATTTTTAGTTTTTAAGGGAAATATGCTTTCATTCACCTTTCTGTCTGAAGGAAAGGCATTTTTCAGGATTGGGAGGCCATCCTTGCCTTTCCAGTGTTTTGCACTAAGCTCCATCTGGATGTCTTTTTCCCAGATTTTCTTTCAAATTTCAGACTTTTCCTTCCAGCCTGACCTCTTATCACAATTTACCTGTTTGGCATTCTTTTCTTTCCGAGCCTCATGGGGAGCTAATATAGTCCAGATGCCCTATAGTTAGCGTCCTAGGACACAGATTTAATGATATTATGCTCTTGTCATACAAGCTTGTTATATGGTAATTTGCCTTTTAAGATCTTTTTCTCAATATTTTCTCGCCACGAGAATCAACTGACATACTGGCTCTGGGTAAAAGCCCCAGTATCCCAGATGGACTCCGTGGCTCACACTACAGACGAATAAAATTCAGCTGTCATAGACACTCTACTTGCCCACGGAGGGTTCCACAATCCAAATGTTAAAATTACTTCAAGTCTTTTCTAATAGAAACTGAAAGCTGTCTGGTTATAATCAAAATGGAAATTTGCCAGCCAGATTCCTACTGTTTCTGAAGAGGGATTTTGAGTTTCTTCAGGATAGAACCCTAAAATTGCCCCATGGTATATGCCCAAAGTGACCTAACTTGGCCAGCTGAATTTCAGGGAGATGCTTTCCAAGATGACAATTTCACTGGAATAATTTCAGAATAGGTAGTTCTCTGCCCATAATGTCCCTTTCCTGTCTTAGGTGATTTAAAAAAAAAAAAATTCAACCTGTCTTTCTTCTCTTCAAAAGCAAGTTTCAAGTCACACCTGGGTAGAACCTTATGCCTCTATGGAGACTGCAGGATGTGGAAGACAGGAGAGAGGGTATGGAGAGCAGCAAGAGCCTGGGAAGAAGGGCTCTCCAAGAGTATATAAGTGATACCAATGGACAGGTGGCTCACATAGCATCATTGAAATGCCTAAAATGTAAGGCTCCATGCTAATTTAGTATGACCATATCTAAGTGATGTCTTGGGGGATTTATTTAGTGAATTTCAAAAAATTTGGAAAAGTAGATGACATCTCTCAACATATGTTCTTTGACTCTTCTATTTTTTACCCTATTTTTTAAACATAGTCATTTTAGAATAAATAAATAGATAAATAAATAAACTGTGTCACAATACTATATTCTTTCGGCTAAAAGCACATATTCCGTCAACTAGGCCTACAGGCAGTAGGAGTAGGACACTGACTCAGCAATGAGTTTTTGTTTTAAATTGTTATTTTGGGAGCTTCCCAAGAGTTCCTGTTACCATTTTTCTACATATAGAGCTTTTTACAGTTAGCACTTCTTTTCCATTTACTTTCAATACACAGTTAACAAAAGAAGGGTCTTTGGATTCACATCTTTGGGTCCAGACTTTGCCGTTTGCTAACCTTGTGACCTTGAACAAGTTCCTGATCTTCTTTAAGATTCAGTTTCCTCTCCTCGTCTGCATATTGAGGAGTTAAATTAAAATGCATGGCCTTAATGGGCACTGAAGAAATGTGGATGTTATTAGTACTTTTAGAATGGATTCCCTGATTGGCTCATTACAGACTTTTCCTCCAATAACTAAAACAATTTTTATCAGATTATTCCCAGTTACTAGGTTTGATAGGAGGAAGGATAAGGGAGCAGTGAATCCTAGGCACCTGGGACAAAATTGGGGAGGGAGTGGAAGAGGAAAAACTATAACTGGGAGATTTGAAATGACAATAGTAAATTTTCATTTACTATGTATTTATATTTATAATTATTTTTACTTATCTCATGTTTTTCCCTTTGGGCAGGTTTGTGCTTAGCTCTTGATTATTTACAAAGCATTTCAGGAAAAGCAAACCAGCAAAACCCCCAAAAATTATCCTTTGGTATTAGAATGCATTTGGCAAATTAAGTGGTACATATACACATTTAATTTAATTCTTTCTTTCTAATATAAAGTTTTTGGCAATTGTTTGCACATTTGCCTTTGGTAGAGTTGTTTGAGAAAAGTGGAAATATGCTTAAGATATGAAACATCTGTTTATTTTAATGATATTTTACTGATGTCAAGACAGACTTATTTGAGCCCTGGGGCAGTATTTTTGTGAGGGATGGCATGCACCTTGCCTGAGCAGTCAATGAAGAGAAAGCAGCTGTTTGAGCTTGCTCAACTTCTACTAACTCAACGTGGATAGAGTCCAGATAGCAACTGGCCCTGTGTCAGATGACTGCAATAAAGCTCTCTTTCCTTATAAATTCTTTATAAACATGATGTGTTGGGGTCTTAATTTTCTCATTTACAAAACAGAGATAATACTTTATATTTTTCTACCTTATTGGTTCAAAAGAAAGAGTTCATAATTTCTGTAGAAATTCTTAGTCAGCTGTAAAACCCTATTACATAAGCATATATTATATTACATAAAGGTGTTATTATTTAGCATGCTTTTACTGTAATGAACAGTTAGCTAAATGCAAAATAAAATTCTTCTCTGAAGTAAACAATAATAATAATAATCAAAAGGAATATAAGACTCTCCATAGAAATAAAAGAAGGTAAAGTTGTATTTTTTCAAAATCATATTTAAATCTTTTATTTAGCAAAATAAAATAGACTGCTTATATAACTATCTAGAACATCTCCCAAAGCCCCAGAATAGGAATTAAATAGTAAAAAAAAAAATAAGAATAGAGGCTTTGACTTGAGGAAAAACAGAACAGATAGAAAAACAAAATGTGATTTTTCTGCTATAACTGGACTGTAGTCTCTCTACAAGTGAAATGTAGCTTCCTGGCAGAAGCCTGAATCACTATTATTATTACTTTTTCTTTATTCATCTCGCATCAGGAAGCTTGTCTCAAATTCAAAGTTAAACGCTAAAAGCCTGTTTGTAGCATGGTATCCCTTTTCTCTGGGTCAGAAGGTGACTGAGAGCTAGAAGTTTAAACTGGTGACAAATATCCACAGGCATCTGAGCCAAACGTTTAGAAAAAAGTCCTATCATCCCTCAGGCCTGTCTACATTCTGGTATTTTAAGACTCTCTACTTGTGTAGAGAGAAACATGCAGTTAAAGATATGAGGGCCTTGACTAAACAGGCTGTTACTTTCATGAATGAATTGTTGAAATAATTTGAAAGAAAAGCTTCTAAATTAAAACTGGACCAGGACACAGGAAATCTGCATCATAATTGCAGCTCTGTCATGGACTAACTTGGTGATTTTGTGGAAGTGACTTAAATTCTCTGGACCTCAGTTACTTCTGTTGCAAAACCTGTGATACATTACCCAGAGCTACTGTCTGCTTTGAAAGCCTGTGACTATAGAATATTTAGATAAAGGTACTTCACTTAAGTCATATTTGTGCTGTAATACAGTGGAAAGTCTCACCTACACATTTTGGTAACTCGAAGCATCACACATAATCTCTATGGTAATACATTTCTGTACTTGTGAGTTTGCATTTGAAGTTTAGATCAATTCAGATTTGTAGTTATGTCCCTAAATATGGTTTATTTAAGGAGCACAGCTCCCAATTTATAACTTGTAAATTGATCTGCTTTTCAGTGAGTGACTCTACAATAAAGTTCCTAGATGCTGTTATAAAAGATGATTGTAAAAAAAATTCAAAATAATCTGATATCAAATTTTTCATATTAACTGAATTTTCCAATTAGAGAGAAAATATGTAAATGCATCATGTGTTGTGTTATGCTGTTTAGCCACAGACTCAGTGTTCTCTAAATGTTTTTGGTGAGAAGGGATGTCAGAGTTTAGCAGCGTGCCTTCTTGCCCTGATGCTGGCGGATTCATCTTTGCAATGCTTATTTTTTCCAACAATCCTTGAACATACCAAACTGCTATTTCATTCAGAATAAGAATAAGAATAATAATGAGGAAAAGAAGGAGAACAATGGGACAGGTGGAGAAGGAGCAGAATAATGGGGCGAGAGAGAAGGTGAATTATTATTATTATTATTAAATGGTTGTGGGCTTTTACCTGAGGAGTAGATCATATTTGTTCTTGATTCCTTATTTTTTGCCTCTTCTTGACTTCTTATTTTTCTTGGCAATCATGTTTGATGGGAGATACATAAGTGTTTACTATGAATATTTAGAAAATTTGATTTATTCCATTGATATTCCTTGAGCACAGAATTTTTTTGGAATATGCTGCTTGCCCTCCTTTATCTTCTGGGAAAATGGGACTCCATTTTTGTGTTTGTTCCCCCATTTCCCTCCTTCACTAGTACTGACTGAGTCCTGCAAACATTTATCTTCTCAAGTCCTGCTAGAATTCCTCTCCCAGGGATTCTGGGCAGAAAACAAGCCTCTTTTTTACATCTTTACAAGTAGTGTGTGTGTGGAATTCAAGTGCATGAAACATTCAGATTAAAAATCTGATAATATTTTAGAAATTCCAGTATACCCACAAATACTCACATGTATGTTTAAATCAGGGATTCCAGTAGGAGAAAACTGTTAGATTCTAGCTTAATGTACTCCTCAATAAATGAGGTATACTTTGGTCATCGTAAAGCACTTGCTAATAATTTACTACTTTGGGGGATTTAAATCCCATTCTATCTTCAGAAGTCATTATTAAAGTGTTATCAGTAACATTAGAATTTGCTTTGGATGATTCTGACAAATTCAACGTTTTATTAAACAAAATGATGCTCTGGTCTCAAATGATGGAGATTTCAACTTGCTTTTCTCTACAGAGGAGTATATCCCCCACCATGCAAGTTATGAGGCATTTACCTTCATTTATTCATTAATTTGGTAAACATGTGCTGAGTACCTGCTCTTTATCAGGTTCTTTATTGATTGATACAGAAACAAATATTTAATTCTTACTCCCAAGAAGTTAATCGTCTAGTGGGAATGAGACAAATAAAACAAGGATAATACTTTGTGGTCTGTGCTGTGGCAGAGGCAGACAAAGAATCAGGGGAATAACAGAAGACTTCCCTCCCACATACTGCCTGAGAGGTGGAGGACTGGGATGGGAGCTCAGGGAAGGCCTCCCCTGGAGGGCACACCTGAGAAGTCATTCCGCTACATGAACTCTGTTATTTTCCTTATCCCTTATTTTTTCCTCCCCTTCACATCCAAATCTTTCAAGTCCGCCATCAAGTCTGATGTGCATCCTCTTTGAAACCTTTTTGAACATCATAGACATATTTTTTCTCTTTTCTCTAAAAGGTAGCACTTCCTCTTTCTTTAACACATTTAGCACACAATAAATCCTTTTATTTATTGCCCACTGTTTTCTAAATAACATTTATTGTAAATGTCATTGATTTTTTAGTTATATCATATGCTCCTTGAGGGTAAAGACCATCTCTCAAACCCAGAAAGTCAGATCCAGCTCCAGTGCTATGCATATAGTAGAAACTCAATAAAAGTTTGTGACTGATATTTCAAGCAAAATATATTTTCTTCATGTTTCAAAATTAAGTGCTTTTTCTCTGTTGTTAGATTGCTGTCTAATTACATTGCACAACCTTGCCTAAGTTTTTATATACATAGCATTGAGCTTAAAAACATGGAACCAGCTCTTATGCATAATTTAGCTATATTTAGCATCTTTGGTCCAAAGCCTTATAAAAATATGTACATCAAAGCACTGTAATTAAATGGAAACAAAGTTAAATTTATATTTTACTTGTTTTATTTATAGTGACTTGAGTCAGAGTATAGGGACACAAAGATGATTGACATATTATCTTGTATTTAAGGAATACATAATGAGAGGAATAGATACATTAACAAATAACTATAATGCTGTCTAATAAATACAGTGAGAAAGAATGGCATAAGAGGAGTATCCAGCCCACCCTTGAGAGCATGGGTTGGTTTCTTGCAGATGTATCCAAAACATAAAGGATAGATGTATAGTAACTAGCAGAAATGACACAAGAGGAAGGACAAGAGGATGGCATCTAGATAAAAAAAAAGTACAGCCGGGCGCGGTGGCCCACACCTGTAAGCCCAGCACTTTGGGAGATCGAGGTGGGCAGATCACCTGAGGTTGGGAGTTCGAGACCAGCCTGACCAACCCCATCTCTACTAAAAATACAAAATTAGCCGAGTATGGTGGCACATGCCTATAATCCCAGCTACTCGGGTGGCTGAGGCAGGAGAATCACTTGAATCTGGGAGGCAGAGGTTGCAGCAAGCTGAGATCGCGCCATTGCACTCCAGTCTGGGCAACAAGAGTGAAACTCCGTCTCAAAAAAAAAAAAAAAAAAAGGAAAAAGAAAAGAAAAGAAAAGAAAAAGTACATGAAGAAATTCTCAGGAATATTAATTAGCATTGTTTTGCAGAAAACTACAACTACTTTAATGTCTTAGAGCATAGAATGGAAGGTAGGAAGACATTATTATTAGAGTTTTGATTTTTTTGGCAATTTATTGATTGATTAATTATAAACTCAGTCTTCAGTAGTAGGAAAGACAGCAGGTGTAGACCTTTATTTTTCCTTCTCTGTGCATTAAAAAGCTGAATTGTAAAGGGAAGAAGAGCTATAGGACCCTAGTCAGAACAGGATGTAGAGTCCAGTGAGGATTTTTGTTTTATTTTATTTTCAGATGGCAGAGTAGGCTGTTTATAGGCTTCAGAAAAAAGCTCCATAAAGAGGAAGATGTTGAAGATAGAAAAAAAGGGGGGATAAAGATTGCCCAAGATATAGAAAGGCTTTCTTAGAGACAAAGTCAGGGTTTTCTGAGTTGGCTAGTGGTCTATACTCTGTTGACATTTATTTTTGGTGTCTTCTGCCTCTACAAATAATAATATCACACTACATATAAGTAGTATTATACAATTCATGAAGCATTCCCACTTCTTTTATGCATACATTCTCAGAACCTCAGATTAAAGATGAGGACACTGAATCTACAAGGAATGAATGATGCAGAGGATGTTGGACAGAAGTATAGAGCTTCAGTTTTCTGGCTTCTATTTCAGGGCTCTCTCAATTGTATCTTACAGAGAGGAGAAAAAAGGGAGGATGGCAATTTTAGTCACCAAGAACAACACTCTATGTTACCTGAAAATTATTTGTGTTCAGTGCTGAGTTCTTAGAGACTTCAGTGAGACCAAACCTGTGGCAGGCAATAATGAGGAAAAAATACAATTTACTGTTTTATTTAAAACAATTATTTATTTATTTTTAATTTAATTATTATTATTATTATTTTTTGAGACAGGGTCCCGCTCTGCCACCCAGGCTGGAGTGCAGTGGTTCAATCTCAGCAACCTCTGCCTCTTGGGTTAAAGTGATTCTCGTACCTCAGCCTCGGCCTTCCAAAGTGCTGAGATTACAGGCATGAGCCACCGTGCCTGGCCAATTTAATGTTTTAGAAGTTTAGATTTTTTTAAATAATTTTTTCAGTGAATATGCATAAAGAGGAAGATAGAACCACACAACTTTTAATTTACTCAACTAATACATTTACTTGTAATAAAAGCAGCAACATTGTAGCTGGAATCTGGAGTTGAAAACAAATGTAATCACAGGCTGTGTGACAGTGCAAGAGCCAAAAATGACTTTTGAGAAAAATATAATGCTTGTTCAGCATTCAGTGAGACAATCCTAATTGTTAGATTTTCTGCCTTAGCTTTAGATACACTGCTGATTTTAAAATCGATGAAACAGTCATCGGCCAAATATTTATTGAGTGCTTTCTGGGTCTCTGGATTCTAAGCACCATGTTAGACATTACAAGTAGAAAGAAGAATTAGAAGTGGGCTTACTTAGATACCTAATATGAGAGATACAATTAGCTATAGATTCCTGTGAAGAGAACCAATGGGTATATAACTAACAACATGCATGTAGACCAGCTTAAGCAGAGACCACATCTGAACCAAATATTTTCAGTAGGAGGTTCTCTAATGAAAATGTTTGTTTGCTAAGAAAATATTTTTCTTCCTGATGTAGTGACATAGATGATCAATACCTTTGTTCAGGTTTCTTTGAGGGTGGTTAAAATTGAGTTAAAAATGTAATCATCTGCAGAAATGTTTTACCAATTTGTATGAATGCTGCCTATTTATAATAAATCAATCCGTAGAGTATAAATATTTGTGTGACTTCGGTGCACCAAATAATCAATCTATATATTTAGTAAGAAATTCAGAAGCAGAATCCTTGGTTCCTGACCTTGGGAAGTTTCAAATTTAGTTGCAAAATAAACACTTGAAATAATTAGGCTAAGAAATAGGATATATAAGCACCAAACAAAAAGACATTAAAGTTTTGGTAATAAGTCTAGAGTCAGTTCAGGGAAGGGGAAAAGTTGGAGTTGTTGGGAAATGAGTGAAAGATTTCAGAGAGGAAGCAGATAGGAGAATATAGTGTTATGGAAGGTATCAGAGATACTCTTAGAAGAGATTGACAGTTCCTGTATCACAGAGATCCAAGGAAGGATGAAGAAAAGATACTGAATCTGGTACTGTGGTGTTTTCTAACTAATTTTGAGAGAGTAGTTGTTTTTACAGTTAAGAACCAAAGTAAAATTTCCAGAGGTTAAATCTCTTGTATATTCTAACATATTGATTTCTGAACTAATTTCACAGTAGCCATTTGGTTCATATATTTGACTTAAATTGTACTCAGCTAATTTCTTTTAGTTTTATATTGTTTCTTAATGTTAGGGACCTCTTGAATACTAATAAAATGATGGCTATGGTCTATTGGTATTTGCACTGTGTTAATACTTTTAGTGCTAATAAATGTTCATAGAGCTAGTAAGCACTACAAAAATAGAGGACTGTGATCAGTGGCTTTAGTAAAGAATTGCAAAAATGTTTTGGCTTAATATTTAATCCTTTATGTAATAATAATATTGGTTTTTAACCTAAATAACCCCAAATTTCCATAAATTACTCATAAAAGTCATTACTATGGAGTCGGTCATTGCACATATCTGTAGCTATTACTGTAATGATTCTTAGTAACTCATCTACTGATTACTGTATGATTACCTAACACTATGACTTAATAATTAAAATGCAGAAAATATTTATTGGACCTGTACTATGTTTCAGGTATTGTGCTAGGCTGTAGGGATACCACAGTATATAAGACACAGTCTCTACCTTCATTGAAGTCTATCTAGAGAGAGAAAAACACAGATGTGTAGAATGGGAATGTTTTGAAAATTTAGTTGCCACAAAAATATTGTTTCCTGTTTAGATCAAGAACAAATAATATATGTATGACTAATATCAGATTAAAAATACTGTAGTTTATTATTGCAGTGATTTCATTGATAGTAAAAATATTAAGTTGTTTCTTCAAACCAAGACATACCAGAGGAAATAGAACATTTTGACCAAAGCCTTTAAGTTTTATTTCAAACAAGAATACCACAAAACATTTAATTCCACTGAAGAATTAGCCCACATTTTATTTTTGTCATCCAAAAACATTACATTCCAATCTTCCTTTTACTGGTATGTGGGAAAAACACTTTGAAGTAGATAATAGTCTGGATTGGGATTCCATGTAGTCTACTCTGTCCAGTCAGGTTTGCAGAGTAGTGAAATATCACCTTCTCTAGAAGATAACAGAACTATGTGTTTGTAATTATTGTTGAAGATATATGATGAAATCATATTCTTGCTTTTTTTAGACTTCTTTATTTAAATGTCCTTAGCATGCTCTGTCAATTTAATGAATATTTTAAATTCTTCTGTACCACTCTTTTCTTTTTTGCCTTTAACTTTGTTTTGGGTTAAACTTCCAGACGTGTGATTATTTGTATATGCTTTAACACACTTGGAAGAAATATATTTAAAAAATAAAGCAAATTTATACAACTTTCATTTTTAATGTGAAATATGATCTATAAGTCTTAGCACTATTTGTATTTGGGGCTTCATGTGCTAAGCTATATATATAGATATATATATGCTTAGCACATGAAGATATATAGATATATATATAGATAGATATATCGATATATCTATCTCACAGCTGGAAGTTTCATTAAATTTTGCAGAATATTTAACTACTTGCTTCAGTATAGCCTCAGTGCTATCCCTTGTGGAGATGAGTAAAAAACACAGACAGGTAGTTAGAACTATTACATAGTCATATTAACAGTTGCCTAGAGTGAATTTACCATTTTGTCAATAGATATTATTTTTCAGCTACTGTGGCAACTAATCTTCAGCCATATTTCCACTATTTTATTGCAAATTCTTAAAGTGAATAGACTATATATGCTTATTATATTCGCTAGTGTGAATTAATAGTGGATTTTATGCTAGCTATTTTGGAAGTTTCAGAAGATAATGTGATTTTACACTGTGAGTTTGGTGGAACTTATTATCAGATAACAGACTCAAATATTCAGCACAAAAACATAGTTGAGAAATGTCAATACATATTTTTGGCTATAGAGAAATAATATTAATTTTTCATACTAAAGCATCAATGTGTGATAATATTCTGCTTATAAAAGCCTATGTCTTATTGGTGCAGTCTCTCCAACAAAGCTGGATAGCCAGACTCTTTTAAAATTAATTTATGAGGACAAGACTATCAACATACAGCAGTAAACTGAGCATAATTGAAACTTTCAAGTCTTGACAAAGCCTTGTGAAAAAGTAATATATTAAAAAGAATGATTTTATATATGAGTTTGTCTTCAAATGTAATTTTTATATTTTTAAAATTCTGCAGTTGTCAGTATATATCAAAACTTGTTCCCCAAAGAAGAAATTTTGAAATTTATTTACTTAATAAATATTTATTTTTAAGGGCAATGTTGTCATTCTGAGGATACAGTAATGAACAAGTCTCTGAGCTTCATGGAACTTGAATTCTACTGCAGGGTGTGAATGGCAAAATAATGGCCATCCCCAAAGATGTCCATGCTCTAATCTCTGTAACCTGTGAATATATTACCTTATGTGGAAAAGGGGAATTAAATTTTTAGATGACATTATGATTGCCAATCAGCTAATTTTAAAATACAGATATTATCTTGGATTAACTAGCTGGGCCCCATGTAATCTCCAGCATCCTTCTAAAAAAAGAAAGAGGCGGAAGATGTGATGACAAAAGCAGGAATCATAGCCAGAGAGAGAGAGAGATTTGAAGATACCACTCTTCTGGTTCTGAAAATGAAGAGAAAGCCATGAGTAAAGGAATGTAGTTGGCCTCTAGAAGCTGGAAAAGACAAAGAAATGGATTTCCTTCTGGGGCTTCCAGAAGGGGTGCAGCCCTGTCAATATCTTGATGTTAGCCCAGTGAAACCCATTTCAGACTTCTGACATCCAGAACTAGAAGATAATGAATTTTTGGTGTTTTAAATCACGAGGTTTGTGCTAGTTTATTATGACAGAAACTAATACAGAGAAATAAAAGATAATAAATAAACAAAAATATATATTTTAAAAAGATAATTTCCAGTAATAAGTGCCATAAAGGAATTAAAAACAGGATAGGATTCTGAAACAGTGCTGTCCAATATAATATACACTAACACATGTAGCTGTTTAAATTTAAATTAATTAAAATCTAAGTGCTACTAGTGTGGCCAGTGACTACTATCTTGGACAATGCAGATAATAGAACATTGCTATCATCATAGAAACTTGTCTTGGACAGTGCTGTTCTGGAGAATGGTACTACTTCACACAGAGTGGATTCAGTTTGTATGAGGATCTGAGAAGGAATCAGGCAGGTGAAAGGCCTCCCAAAGGAGCAAAATGTAGAGCAGTATGTGCTATAAAATAAATGAAACAGATGTGATGTAAAGCATTTTAAAATCTCCCAAAGGCCTAGTGCAATGGCTCATGCCTGTTATCCTAGCACTTTGGGAGGCCAAAGTTGAAGGATAGCTTGAGTCCAGGAGTTCGAGACCAGCCTGGGCAACATAGTGAGATACTGTCTCTACAAAAAAAAATTATTTAAAAAAGTTAACTAGGTTTGGTGGCATGCACGTCTAGTCCCAGTTACTTAGGAGGCTGAGGTGGGAGGGTCCCTTGAGCCCAGGAGCTCAAGGGTGCAGTGAGCTCTGATTGTGCCACTGCACTCCAGCTTGCACATTAGAGTGAGACCCTCTCTCTAAAATAAATAAATAAATAATCTGTCAGGATACTTTAGGGACCTTATTATTATTTTATTTCAAGGTACTCATAACCACTAATTTATTCATTCATTCGTCAAGCATTTAGTTACAACCTAATTTTATTTCGAGTTTTATGCCAGGTAAAATATATACAAAAGTGAATATAATGGAGGTGCTAAACTCATAGAACCAAAGTCTAGTAGAATTCTCCTTTTAAAAATTGTGGTTCATTTTGGACAGCACGGTGGCTCACTCCTGAAATCCCAGTGCTTTGGGTGGCCGAGGTGGGAAGATTGCTTGAGTCAAGAACAGCCTGGGCAACCTAGCGAGATTTCATCTAAAAAACTAAATAAATAAAAATTATGGTTCATTTTGACGGCCACAGAGGCCATTGATTCTGCAGGTGGAGAATTAAACTGCAATTTCTCATCATGCTAGGGAGGGTGAGGGAAGAGGGAAACCAGCAAGATTCTGCTATGCTGGGGACTGCCCACTTGTCCAGTATCAGAGCCATTCGCCAGGTCATTTTGTGGACCTGATTCCACTCTGGTATCAACCCACATCATATTTGTGGAAGAAGAAGAAGCAGGAGTCATGAATTATGATTCTCCTAGCGAATGAGCGCATCCTTATTAAACCTTGTTAAGTCCTGTGAATAAATTTTGAGCTAGAACTTTAACTTCATACTATAGTTTTGTTGGTGTTACTGCTATGCATTCATTTCATTACTGCTGTGTAGTTTATATTAATGACATTGACTTTCAAATATCATGTCTTAGAGAATAAAAAATAGAGTTTCTGATATAGTAATCTCCTTTAAGGTATCCAAAGAGCTGTGAGTTGTCTGCATATGTGCATGCATATGTGTGTATGTGTGTGTGCCTTTTTTGTTTGCTTGTCTTAATTTTTTAAAAAATGTATTACTTCAAGACACTATAACATTGACTCATAAAATGTGTAGTTATTAATATGACTGAAAGTGCCAGAGTTTGCAGTCAGTAGGTTGCAATTTTCCATAGCCAGGGAATATTGGAAAGCTGTTATTCAAAGGCAATGCAGAATCTTAGGGGGTCTATACAGGAACTACCTTTTAAGGAAAATGCGTCTTACCAGTGAAAGTGATGGAGGATGATTTCCAGATGTTCAAATGCTTGTTTTGGCAACTGCTACAGAAAACTGAAACGTGTTGCCAGAACAACCAAAAGGGATGTGAAGCACTGATGTAAGAGGGATCAGGCCATGGAAAGCAAGGCAAGCAGAAACCAGAGAGTATATAGAGAGATACCAGAGAGGGGAGATAGTTGAGCCAAGAGAACAAACTTTAGAGCCCCAGTAATTACATGTAGTAAAAGCATATCTGCCTCTGTATGAGGATGCACACCCAAGCTTATCACCCCTGTGCACCCCACTTACACTTTCCTGTGCTTTCTTCATTATCTTTCCTGTAACTATTGATGTCATTATGTTAATTGGGAAAACTCTTCCTGGCTAATATGCTTGTTAGATATTATGGGTTAGTGAAGCATGCATGACTGGGGTTAAGCAGATTTGTCTTCAAATCTTGAGTTCATTCTTGACTACCAGGATGGTCTTGACTGAATCATGTAAGCTCTAGAATGTTCAGTTTCTTCATCTGTAGAATGGAGGTTATAATATTATTACCAAATAGCTGTTGTGAGAACCAAATGAAATAATGTATGTGAAGAGCATGCAAGAATAGGTTTCTTCTCCATCTGACTCCTTCCAACCAATTTCCAGAAGTAACATTACGTTTTTTGCCCAGTTAGGAAAAATACATTTTCAGAAGACATCTGAGAATTGCATGTAATGTTGGCAGACTCACAGATTGAAAATGTTTAGCTAGGTTGACTTTTTGTGGGCTCTTGGTTTAGAATCATATAGGCAACCAGATACTGTGTCTACAAATCAGGCAGCCACTTGGGATTGTTTTCTAAAAGATGAGAAAATACAAAAAATAAAAATCCAACCTTGATTGAATATGTCCTTTTACACTCTGAATATCTGCAGTGTTTCTTTTCCCCCAACTTTTTTTTAAACACGTGTTGATTTTACAGTGCAGACTATTAACTGCCATCCCAAACCAACCAGTTCCAAGCAGTTCAAGATAAATAAAATTCCCCATCTGCCTTCACATCTTGGTGAGATCTTTGACCTTCATTTCTAAATCATTTTGATTCCTCGCCACCCTCCCCCAACTTACTTCTACAATGCTCTCCACCCTAGCTCATTTCTGAAAAAGAGATTTTTCCAATCTCTGTGCTAGGCCTGGTCCTGGGCCAGAAAAAGCCAGGCTCTTCCAAAAAGCCAGCCTCTGCGGGAGTTGGAACCTAAAAATCTAATTCATACTGCAACTATTTTCCCAGGGGGTGGAGCAACAGGAGCCAGGATAACAGAAAGGGATCGCTGTAGGGAACTAGCTCATTCCACACCTGGACACCTGACTGTGTTCCACTGTGAATTCTCTGGGAAAGGTTTTGAAGTCTGTATTTTGAGTTGAGCTACATTGTGTGTTGGCTTTCACATACATTGTGTGTATGGCCATTTCAACTTACCATATTATCTGTCCATGCCCTTTGACATCTTAATTTCTCTGAGGAAACATCACAGAGATACAATTTAGAACTCTTTGGTATCATAACTTGTAGCCCGGAAGGCATGGAGTGCTGACCTTACCTATTATTGTACTTGAAGTTAGAAACTCTCACCTTAAATCCTAGATTTTTCATCTATGAGCTGCATCATCTTGTATTTTAAATTATACATGTAAGTGTCAGGTTCCATATCTAAAAAATGTAAAGGATGAGAATACTTGCTCTGATTACTTTGCAGTGTGTAAGGATTGAATGAAATCATGTGTGTTGAAGTACTTAAAGCAGAGTAGATGGCTCCCTTCCTAGTTCTCCTCTGAGATTTTGAAGAATTCTGTTCATATTGCATTGTAATTATTTGACTCTTTCCCTCTACTGACTCAAAAACAGAGATTAATTTTTTAAGCTATGAAGTAAGCAAAATAGCATAATAGTTATCTTTCTAATATAACTACTGGGGTCTTAGACCCAACAGTACACTTTGAAGTGAACTCTATAGTTATGTGATTTTTAAAGTAAAGTGGCTTTTAAATAAATATAGCTTGTATATAATTTCTTACTAGGATAGAGTTTAACCAAAGTTATTGAGAAGTATATAAGGTGTGTGCAGTCAGTTGAAGAGGCTCCATTACAGCAGAGTTTTAAGAATAATTATAGAGAGTAAAATTAGAGAAGGTACACTAGTGGGTTTTACAGTGAAGAAGGTAAGAAAAAGAGTTACAGATGAATATGTGTTTTTATGGCCTTGCTTATATTTTAAACACACCTTGGCAACTTATCATGGAAGAGGGGTAAACTAACTGAAATGAATTGTATAGAAGCAAAAACTAAATGTCAGGTGTTTATTTGATTTGCCAGTTATCTAGATCATCCTTACTGTTTAAACATTTACCGTCATGTATGTTTTCAGTCATGGATTCAACAGAAAAGACAGTCAAAACCCAATTATTATCACTATTGCTTTTCTTGTGAAGATCTGTTATCTAGATTGTCTTTGCTCTGAAGATTGCTTCATTTGTCATTATGCCTTTATTAAATATAAAACATAAACAATTTAAAGACCTACTATAACACCATTTGCCATAGAAATTAGTTTGCTTTAAAGAAGGTACATTTTGGATGTATATCCAGGTAAGAATGTGTTTATTCTATTTTAATGGAAGGGGTGAAGGGCATGAGTTCATTTCAAAGAATGTAAGAGTAAGATGCTGGGGGTTAGTGTGTCTTAAAATGTTTGCAGTGATTATCTGTGTGGAAATGGGTTACATTTATTTCTTATTATAGGCCATGGTAGCTCCTTATGGTAGAAAGAATAATAAGCCAATTTTGGCTGCCAGGTAATCCATGATTTTTTCATCAAATTACGTTACAGACTACTGTCCTCCATATTTATGCATGGAAACACTTTCTAAAATGTTATGTGGGATTCCCTGTGGAAAATCTTTTTTAACCTTTGACCTAACTGAGAATACAATGGGTTCCCTTTGAGGTAATGAATTCTCTGTCTCTGGAAGTAACCAAGCAGGAGCTTTACAGCCACTTATGGATGCTATAGAAGAAATTCCTAAGAAATTGGACTAAATAGCTTCTTGTTCTCTTCTGATGCTCTGTATAAATTAATTTAGTGTTTGAGGAACCAAAGATAAGCTTCCTAAGTTCATTCTAGAACAAAGATCTGAAAATAGTAGAGGTTCCAATAAACATCAAGAAACATTTATTGTCTACAGAAAACTTTTTATCTTTCACGGTTTTTTAAATGGGAGTAGGAGGTTATATCAAGAAATCCAAGCTTGATTTAGGTCGATTTTATTATAAGATGGAAAATAATAGCAGTCCATGGAGACACTGGCATTTCACACTAAACATTTTAATTTTTGAGAATTTTTTTAAAAACTAAAATTTACATAAAAAATTAGCATGTCCAAGAGAACTCCAGTTGATTAAATTCCAAACAGCAATCACCTCAGCACTGTGTCCTAAGGACTTTTATATTGATATGACAGAATGAGAGTTGCATTTGTGTCCTGATATTTGGCAATTAGCAGGAGCTCTGTTTGCCTTGTGTGCTCAGTTGATTGTCATCTGAGAGCATTCTGGATATAATTTAATGCCTGTTAAGTCATCTCTAAAGTACGATTGTAATACAGTAAACAATCACAACTGTTTAGTGTTTGCACAATTGCTTGCTTTCATTTGACCTTATTATAGACTGTGAGCCTGTTAGTTTGATTCGTGAAGGCACACACATTGTTCAGGAATGTTTGCCAGTAATGAGTGAGGGCTAGTTTTCCATATTGACCTCATACATAATTACATAAATTAAAGCAAACCATAACAACTGAGGGTCACATAAAATACACTTCACAGAGAGATTTTAAAGCCCTTGCATTGTACCAAGCTTGAAATTATATTGCCATAAGACACATATATCATTTTTGAAAAGTGTATGTTTAAGTTTCTACTAAGACTTTACAAAGAACACTAAATAAAAGGTTCTATTTTAATAAGCATTACCATGGAGATTTTCTCTAGAAAAACTTGGCTAAGAAAGAGGATTGCCAGTGTTTTTATTCTGGAGGTTAATGACTTGATGATAGAAATTTCTAATGCTAGGCTTCCAAACAGTCTTGAAACCACTAAACACTTAGGAAAATGCAAATGTGGAATTTAGATCTTAACCCCCTGAAAACATTAGTGATTTTTAAAATTCACTTATAGTTTCTTCATTCTTGAAATTTCAGAATAATGTTGATGTTTAGCCAAGTTCAATTTAATTTTATAATTAACCTTTTTCATATGTGACTTTTTTGGTTAATAGTGTAGTCGATTTTTAAAAATGTAAAATATACACAAGACCTCTGCAAATGAAATTGCATTCCATGTGACTATTTAAGAAATCATAGACTTTCAGAGTTTAATGGAATATAGAGCCAATATTAAATATATTTACCAATAATTTCTTTTAGATGGTGGAGGCCAAAGTTTTAGTTATCAATCAGATATTAAGGTTCCAATATTATTAATCAGCAAGTATTACTTCATTTATTTCACTTTCTAAAACAATTTTGTTTGAAGTTTATAGAACCTTATTTCTATTGTTTTCACTAGTTTTTGAAGCAACATATAAGATGTTATCATGGGAAAATCTTCACCTAACATTAGCACATCAAGTTTTCTTTTTGATAAGAAGGAAGTTGAAATGTCTTTGGCTGGAGTATTTTTCATTTTTCAAAACTTTTATTGGAGTACAATGAGTCTTATTCTGTCGCCCAAGTGGGAGTGCAGTGGTGCGATCTCGGCTCACTGCAACCTCTGACTTCCGGGTTCAAGTCATTCTCCTGCCTCAGCCTCCCCAGTGGGTGGGATTACAGTGCATGCCACCACGCCCAATTAATTTTTTGTATATTTGGTAGAGATGGGTTTTTGCCATGTTGGTCAAGCTGGTCTCCAACTCCTGACCTCAAGTGATCCACCTGCCTCGGCCTCCCAAAGTGCTGGGATTACAGGCGTGAGCCACTGCACCAGGCCATAATCAGTATTTCATGTTGAAGACCATGTCAACATTAAAATGAGCTTAATGACCACTAATATATTTTGGGAATTTCCATTTTTGGTTAAGGCTATGGTCTGTAACTCCATATATGAGATTAAATTTGTGCTTTATGGAAAAATGAAGATTCACCTAAATCTATGATTCTAGAATATGCATTCCTAGGTTTAGCTAAGTCTTTTTGATTGTTATAGCATTTCATAATTTTCTGACACCCTATTGGAGGGCAATATGGACTCATGTTTATTACTAACTTTATAATGTTTTTCTCTTCTTAATCCTCTTTTTACATCTTTTAAGTCTCAATTCACACCCTTCACAGTTTAGTAGACTTCCCTGGCCTATCGCACTCTTTCTTGGTTTCATCTTCCCAGCTTAGAAGACCTGTGTCTTCTGCATGGATTCATCCAGAGTTCTTACCTCCCTTGGGTCTGTGGTTGCCCTTTGCTTGATTCTTTCCACCTCTATGTGTCTTTTCTTACATGTGTCAACTTATGCCACATGATGTTTTTCTAACCTGCCCATATTATGACTTTAAGTGTCAGATACTACTATATATATGCATATTTTTTTCTTGACAAATAATTGTTGGCCTATAAAACTAGCATCTTGCTTGGCTATCTCAAAGTATGACTGTGCAAAAACTCTGAGATCATTTTCTGGGTCTTTCACATCATAATATAGCTTGTCATCTAAGTGAAATTTGGGTTTCCCTCCCCCCAGTGAATAGTAACATAATTTTTTGTGAATGCAAGTGCATTTTCCACAAAGAAGTTCATTTGTCCTCTTTCTATTAATACTAAGAGCATCATGGCGCTTTTTAATGATAATCATTGACATTTTTTAAATGTCTGAAGTTTAGGATAATCCAGAAATGGTTCTAAGGATCTGTGATAGACTCCTCAAGAAATTCTCCACCAACTCATTTGGTAGAGTCCCGGGACCATCAGAGAGGAGATAAAGCTTCTCTTCCTCCTTCTCCACCTACTTCCTTACCCTTGGGACTTTGCTGGGGCCCTGGGGTATTAGTTAAGGCATGTAGATGGCCTGCAAGGTAAAGAAGCACTCTGATATTATCTGTAAGCCCAGAACATTCTCTGGGTAATGTTTTTTCTAGAGACGTTATAGCACTGTAGTCCTAGGAAGCCCTCAGTATTTGAATTTTTCCACCTGAAGAAATATTTTTTTGGTCTTTACTTGTTTCTTGACTCTAAGACAGCTCCTTATGCATGTTAGAACATCTTTCCAAATCCCATGGTGATTCAATCTTCAAGCAGTTTTTGTATGAACCTAGTCATACAAGTATTCAAGCATCATTTTCCCTCCCAGTACCATGATTCCTCTGTGAGTTGTATTGTGTTAAGAAGATAGTTATTCTCTCCTTTGTAACAGATTCCACCAGATCACCTGGTTGAAAGTAAACCTTAGATTTCCAGGGTCTTCGCTGAATTCTGTCTTTATGAATGGGGATCATATTGACAACTTGTCTTTTCTGGTTTGCTTAATTTGTTACTGGTAGGTCATATGTCTTGGCTTACTGTTCAACATTTAACCCTTACGTTTTTTCATAATTTTCGTATAGATGTTATAGCATCTTAGGTATTTATCTGTGTCAAATATAACAATGCATTTTTGGCAATTTGATCCAGTATTTTGGACACACATAATTTAATATGTAGTTTAGGTGTTGAAATCGTCAAAAGAATACATTAAAAGAGAAAAGAACTAACTATTCTTTTAGTATTACCCCAATAATACAATTTTATATTTAGGATTTCTTTGGATTCCGGAATTGGTTTCCTTCCTCTGTTTGACATTTTTAAGGGTCTTCTTATTGTTGGCTTTGAAGTTACTTGTTTCACAATCTTTTTCACAAATATAGTTTCACAAAGATAGTTTCACAAATCTTTTTCTGGTCTAATTTCCAGTTATGTCTGATGTGTCAAATTTTAGAGGCTTCCCTTTCTTCCTTGACTTGGGAAAATTTGATTTAGATGCTTGTTTCTTCCTATGAAGGCAGCTTTTACTGTAATAGTTTGCTGTGAAAGCATTTTTTAATGCATCTGGCTTGTTTTTATGATTCATGACAAAAAATTCATCTTGGGCTTCTAATGATGTATTTTAAAATAGTCTCCAGACGTCCCGTGGTTCATTTTATTTTAAACTATTTCTTTTTACTTCTTTTTTAATAATGGCCAGATTTTCCTAAGTTCCCTTTACTAAAATTAAATTATTTTATATGGCATTCCTTTTTTCTTGCCAAATGCTAGGCTTAATCATTTTGAATACTGTGTAGACAGAAGTGGGCACCCATGATACAACCTTCATCAATTCCTGCTCAAGTCTGCCTAGACTCGGAAAATCCAATTTTGGCAAACTGATGTCTGTAATCATCTGTATTCTTGTACTCCAATGTGCATTCTGTATGTCTATGATGGGATTACAATATAAATTCACCTTATTTATACTTTATCCAATGTTTTCACTTTCTTTCTTGTTATACACTATTTAGATAATTTTGCTTAAATAGTGTCCCTGTAGCCCATAGAATAAGTAAGGTTCATATTTTTTAGTTTAACAACCAATGCCTTTCATAATTTGATCCCTAATTATTCTATCTTCATTCACTTCCCACTGAACTTTTTCTTTTCTTTTGCAGTACAATTCTTACTAAATGGTAAAATTTCACAACTGTACCTTCTCCCAGATCTTTCTGGAATACCTTTCCCATTTCCTTCATTGTTCATCCGATCAATGTATGAAGATATCATCATTCTAATCAAGATGTTAGTTGTAGGTGCCTTTTCAGTTAAATTGCATGTAACCTTCCTAAATCCTTGGTCCTTGCCTTCAATGTAATTCTACTGTCTTGCTCTTTATGAGTCCAGATGTGAGAGTCATTACCTCACTCATGTACATGGCAAACTCCACTCATGTCAAGTTTTTGGAAATTTAATAATTTAACTGAAGATTTTTGGTTCTAAAGAAGGATCACAGTATTAAGGACTATCTATCTATTTTCTCCTTTTTTTCCTTTTCAGAAAATAATAATTATGCCTTATCTCATATACTTTTGTAGCCTGGTTTCACCTATTATATGGGTCTTCCCCTATACTCTAAGTAGCTTAGAAAAGTATGTATTTTTCTTTAAAATATGGTACTTGCCCAATAAAAATCCTTCTGAATAAGATCTTCTTCAGCTCATTAATTGGCCATAGTTTTTAAAGAGCCCAGAATGATCTAGGCAATATAATAGACACTGATTATATAGCAAGAAAATTGCAGGTCAGGTTTTTGTGTTCATAAAGTTTTAGTGTGTGATCCAAATAGCAATACATAATTGTAAATTAGATATTCAATAGATATTTGGGGTTATGCAAGTGAATATTTTATATTTTAAGCTTAGTTGTATTATTTTAGGGAATTATAGTATATTTGCATTACTGTATTTTACTATTTAAATAGGAAATTCAGTGAACGCTGCCTTGAATCCATGTAAAAAATAAACAAGAAGAAAGAGATGGTCAAGAAATGTATCATTCTTAATTCCTGACGTGTGCAATTTTTCACATTACTTTACTCATTTAAGTAAAATTTCTATTGGAGTATAGTTCCCATGTCATGTTTCTAACCCTTTCTAAGTGCAAGAATCCTTCTGTGTTCTCACATCCCGCTTACTCAGAGTCTGAAGTAAGAAAGTTTTTATACAAACATGGAAACACTCATGGCTTCTACTGTTTCATACATATAGGAATTAAGAAAGTATTTTGCAATGCTCTGAAGGCAATTCTGGTTGTAGACTAGGTCAGCTCGGGCTTCCATGAGGTTCTAAACTCTAAGAAGGGCTAGTTCAGAAAGGATCATTGGAACAAGAGGAAAATTGCATGCTAATGTATTCCAGGAGATGATGAAATCTCTCATCTTATTAATTTGGCAGTGTTGAGTTCCTCTTCTGTAGAATGTAATTTCCTTTCTAAAAGATATGAAGCATCTGTTCCCACTCAGAACCAAATGGAGAATTCTTCATCTACATTAGCAAGTCAGGCCTGCTTAGTGCCCCAACTGTGCTTACTGCTCAGGATGTTCTACTCACGCTGACTGGTTAGTGCATCTGGTGTTTCACATTATTTGTTGGAATTATAAGCACTTATCATCTTCCCAGTTCATTAGGATTAAAAAACTCTGATAAAAGTATATATATAAAATATATGTATTTTTTAATTCAAGAAGATGGCAAATGGATTTTTTCAGTCTTGAAAAATATATAAATATAATATATACATATAACATATATATGTATGTATGCACATATATTTTTGTTTGTTCTCACTCATTCAGCATTGTATGGGTACAACAAGGATACTGCAACCTACAGTGTCCTTATGAAGCTAACATACATGACTATACAAACACAGACCAGTTCTCTAATTCAAAATTTACAGTAAATAAGCACTGATTGTTTTTCTCCCCTCTCCTTTGAGAAGATTCTTGCTCAGAAACAAAACTTGTACTCTCCTAACTAGGTAAAACTAAGCAAATACCCAACTATGTACTTGTTTACTGAAACTGTGTGTCAAACTGTACCTTTTTTTTCTCTTTCATCTGTCTGTCTTTTGAGTTTTTGAATTGTTCAGAAAATTCTTAAGTACTTTTATGTTCACTGTTTTCAGAGGCCCAAGAGTCTTGCATCACAGCAACATGGTTTCTTGCAGGGAAGAATGTGTTTGAATGTCCACACCCCTTGCCATAACCATCTGGTTTGCAGATGATAAATACAAACACTACGTTGTTTCTTTTTTTTCCTCCTCTAAAGATCTGGGAAACAGATTGAACTTAAAATTCTACCCTGGCGATCTCAATATATTAATCTTCATTACCATGTCTAGTTCTTTAAGAATTCCAGTTCTGCAGCTATATATTTTTTAAAGACTGAACACATAATACGTATGATATACCACTTGTAGGATTTTTTTATGTTATTATAATGTCTTCATTTCTTCCTACAGTCTAGTAATATCTTACTCCTTTTTCAAAGTCCAGTTTAAGACCTGTTTCCCCTGTGAAGTCTTTTCTAGTTATTCTAACCTCCACACGTCTCTCTTTCATTGTTTGGAAGACTTCACACCAAAGCAAGGTATATATTTGTTTAAAAGTTTCATGCATGGGCTTAGCTCCCTAATCAGAGTATGAGTTGTTTAATAACAGATTGTTCATATGTTTTGTAATCATAGTATAATGGACACAATGGATATTTAGAACCTAGTTGTCGAATTAATACTTCATTAATGCCATCAAAGAAGCCTCATTCTAATAGAGGATATGAGAGAGACTTTATTAGGATGGGATTAAGTTAGGCAGAAAATTTTACAGTGGGAAATATTGACCTCAGTTACAGGGTTAGAGTAGGCCTTTATACACCTTTTGTCTGAAATAACATTAGAAACAGAAATGGAAAACAGTGCCACCTCTGGGTGACTTCTGTCTGAAATAGAAAACAGTGCCACCTCCAGGTGACCCTAGGCAAGTGGACAGGAGCAAAATAAAAGGCATTCCTTCTTCCAGTAGATACAGCCCCAAGCTAGGGTTCATAGTATGACAAGGAGAGCTTGGATTGAATGTCATTTCCCACTGGCCCCCTCAGTTGGAGTCTTTGTGAAGTGTACAAACTGCAAACAATATACAACAGCCCTCCAAACAGTGATATAGATAATGCAGGCAAGTCAAGGCGGCTTGGTGGCTTATGAAGTAGCTGACACTGCATACTCTGTGTGGCATGAAGCTAGAGGCTAAGCACCTAGAAATTTATTTGTTACACATTAGGAGAGAGATCGAACAATCATGGCTGATGTGGAAAATATTTACTTAAGAATGTAGATTTTTCATTGGTATATAAAAATAATATTTAAGAGAATGAATAGCCCAGAGAATAGTCAAGTAGGTCAAAAAGCAGTTGATGAGATTTGTAAGGTGTGAACAATAACCAGAGTGAAAAAAAAAATGACACAATTCTGAAGGTGAGGACAAAGTTGTTATTGGGCCAGAGTGCGACTGAGGGCAATTGCTGAGGTTTGAGAAAGGTGACACAATTGAAGGGCCATTTAAGAAGAAGTTTCGATAGCTATGTTTAAGATAGATTGCAGGGTAATCATAGTATAAAGAAATCTGAAGGATGTCTGTCCTATTGAAAGCAGAATGAACAGGAATTAATTAAGGTAAAATATGGAGAGAATTTTTTGGTTGACCTTATATAAGAGTGGGCATAAGATAATAAGCATTTAAATTATATTCTTTAGTGGACATTCATTAATATAATGATAATCATTACTTTGAGGCTACCATTTATTGAGTGCTTAATAAGTGCATTCAATTATTAAGTCTATGTATAGTACATTTGTATAAATAATGTTAGATTTTAGTCTAACAAAACACATAAATATTGGTAAATGATATGCACAGATATAAAAAATTTATAATTATGGTGAGCTAGTTGGCTGCAGTATGGAAAATATAATCTATGGTATACATATATCATAAATGTTAAGCATTTATTTTAGAAATAAAAAAACAAGGATTTTCAAGGGAAGTATAGATGTTTAAATATACCTAGTTCGAAGAGTAATCTTGTTTTGCACTAAAATGTATTTTATTATTAAAAACATTTTGTTTAAAATTATTGTCAATCATAACATGAAAACATATAGATTAAACTTTAAATATTTTGGAATAATCTGTATCCATTCCAATGATAACTTATCAAGTCTATACAATGTTAACATTTACATATAATAGGGAAAAATCTAGTTCTTGATTATATCAGATTTATATTATCTCTCACCATAGGCATAGGAAATTCCAGAAAAGAATTTGACATTATTTATAAAATTACTATCCATAAAACATCTTAAATATTTTTCCTTAGTTTGATGAAGCTCAACCTTTAGTCTTTCATCCTTGACATACATTTCGTTATCAAATCATGCAAGCAAAATATGCAGAATTGGATTTCTTCAAGTGAAAAAGAGATGGCTTCACTATTAAACTCTATAAACTCCTTGATCCTATTAAAAGGACGGTTTGCTTAATTTTTTAGGTCAGAATACACCTTAAGAATCTAGAAGAAATTTAACAGTGCATTTCGCTATTTTGAAATAGCATTAGTAAATTTCAAGAATTCGGGGGAAGTTGGGAAATGAGCGTGCTAACTTTAAAACTTGCATTAACTACGTGACCCATGTGACTATATGAACTTATTTTACATTTTTTGGTAAGAGGAAATCTTTAACCGGAGCCATAAATAAATTATCCCAGTCAGATAATTGTATATATTAATATATACTCAGCATAGTCTTTGGTTACAGTAATAGAAAGAATGCATCTGCAAAGATAAGGCTCTGAAAACTGACTTTTCACTGCCTGTGAAATCATTTCGCCCCTGTGAACCCCAATCCCTTTATATGTAATAAGGCAAAATAGGCAAATAATTTCTACCTTGAATAGTCGTGAGCATTTATCAGATAACATCTGAAAACTGCCTTGTATAAAGTAAACACTAGATGGTATTTATTATTATTATTAATGGTAACCTTACGCATATTAATTCACCAATGTTTTTAACTGGTCTACTGCACACTATATTTCCAGCTAACTTCCAAGTCGGCTTCCTTACCAGACCATGGGGAATCCTCAGCTCATATTGCCCAGCCCCATCTCTGCCTGTCAAAGTCCTGCTTCATTTCCCAGAATACCTCACTGAAAGCACATCTCTATTAAAAGGAATACATCTGGCTATTTTATAGTTCCTTTTAATAAAAGAATGCTGATTTTATCATTGAAGTATTTTTAAATCTTAAGTGGGCAAGGTGAAAATTTTAGTATATTTTAGAATAAAATATTTGAATCTAGGTTAATTAACAAGTAATATCTGTGTGGTGCTTAATAGTTTAAAATGCTTTTTTCATGTAATTTATCCATTTCACTTGCAATAAGAATTATTAAAACTAATTTTTAATTTGGAAGAACTGAGCCTTAGAAAAATATATTACTTACTCAAGTTCTCTCTATGGTAATTACTAGAGCTATGTCTTCTGATACTAGAAACTATTTTTCTTAGTATACATTAAGCCTCTACAATGAGAAATAAGATTTAATAAAAAGAAGGGGAGGGGATACAGATAATAACCTAAAAGGGAAATAGTAAGGAAATGTAAAGCTGTAACTATAGCTTTGTACATTTTGAATAAAGATCAACTTCCCTATTCTCTTTCTTCCTTTCTATATATATATGTGCATATACATACATAGATTTTTCTGTATTTTTATTATAAGCTTTGTTGAAGCACAGTGGTGTCTCTTTGTTTAAATTTCTGGTCTATAAACATATCTTTGTTTTATAATATAATGCCAAATGTGCCTCCAGGTTTAAAATGTATTAATATTCAGAAGAGTCCTCTAATCTGCTTAAGACAAGATAAAGGGAAAAAGGCAATGTAGAATCAGAGGGCTGTGTTCTTCATTGAGGCCCTGGGCATGTTTTTTCTGTTTACAATTGCTGGAAAATATTAGTTTTATTTTCTGCCCTATATGGTATCGTATCATGTATGTACATATGTTAAAGTGTGATTATTTTGGTATAAATACATATTTTACACTTTGATTCTTATTTTTATTCTTGATGTTTATAACTGGAGAATTATAGAAATGCTAACCAATTGTATTTTGGACATGATTTAACATCTGGTCACTTTTTTATTTTTTTATTTTTTTGAGATAGAGTCTCTCTGTGTCGCCCAGACTGGAGTGCAGCGGCGCCATCTTGGCTCACTGCAACCTCTGTCTCCTGGATTCAAGTGATTCTTCTGCCTCAGCCTCCTGAGCAGCTGGGACTACAGGTGCGCGCCACCATGCCCAGCTAATTTTTGTATTTTTAGTAGAGACGGGGTGCCACCATATTGGCCAGGCTAGTCTCGAATTCCTGACCTCGTGATCTGCCTGCCTTGGCTTCCCAAAGTGTTGGGGTTACAGGCGTGAGCCACTGCACCCAGCCAACATCTGGTCACTTTTAAAATATACTTTCTAATTTTAGAAGTTTTAAATTTACAAAATAATTGTACCGATAGTACAAAGGGTTCTCAAATAATCTAGACCCAATTTTCCCTCTTCTTAACATCTTACATTCACAACGAATAAGCCAATATTGATATTTTACTATTAACTAGAGTCATACTTTAGTTAGATTTTCTTAGTTTTTGTCTAATGACCTCTTTCTGTTCCAGGATCCCTCACAGGATCCCATATTACATTTAGTTGCATGTCTCCTTAGGCTCCTTTTGGCTATGACAGTTTCCAGACATTCCTTGTTTTTTAGGATTTTGACGATTTTTCAGGAGTACTGGCCTGATATTTTGTACCATGTCCCTCAATTAGGATGTGTATGATTTTTGTTTTCATGATTAGACTGGAGTTCTGGGTGTTGGGAGGAGGTAAAGTGCCATTCTCAACTATCAACATGAATTATTATTACTGATATTAAACTTTAATAATTAATTAATTTATTTATTTTTGAGAGGGAGTTTCACTCTTGTTGCCCAGGCTGGAGTGCAATGGCGTGATCTCAGCTCCCTGCAAACTCTGCCTCCTGGGTTCAAGTGATTCTCCTGCCTCGGCCTCCCAAAGTGCTGGGATTACAGACGTGAGCCACCGCGCCAAGCCTGGTGTTAAATTTGATCACCTGTCTGGGGTGGTATTTGTCCTGTGTCTTCACTGTAAATTTGCTGTTTCCTCCCTTTTCCATTCTGTACCCTTTGGAAGGAAGCCACTATGTACATACAGTTCTTACTTAAGGAGTGGAGACTTACTCTTCAACTTTTAAAGGGTGGGGTAGCTACATAAATCATTTGCAATTCTGCATAGGAGATTTGTCCTATTCTATTTTATATTTTGTATGTATTTACATCGGTATGGACTCATAGATATTTATTTTACATTTTTGGTGATATTTGAATGCTACTTTGCTTATTTTATTTGTCAAACTGTTTCAGTTTTGGCCACTGGAAAGTCTTTCAGTTGTATTCTGTGTCCCTTTGATATATCCCCATCATGTGGGCTTTTTTGTGTGTATGTACTTTTTTACTTTCGGTTACTATAAGATGTTCTAGGTTCGTTTTGTATATTTATTGGCCCAGTCCTAGAATCAGCTGTTTATTCAAAGAGCTCTTGTTCCTTATATTGGAGAATGCTATCAGAAACCACAATCTGGGACCTAGGTGTGTTCATTGCTACTTGGGAGTTGTTGCTTCTGTGTTCTGTCAGCTGACAGAGCAAGGAAATATATATGTGTGTACTAATAGTTGTATATACAAATATCTATATATATTTCAATTAAGCATGTATGAGTTAATATTTGGAAGCAGAGACAGTAGAATCGCCTGAGAAGAAATCTGAGCATTTCTTCTCAGATTTTTCCTATATGTGATATATAAACAGAAGCAAATCAAGACATATTAATAAGTAAGATAAGGGTAGAGCTAGACAGAGGCTGGAAATAATACCTTAAAAATATACCGGGCCGGGTGCATTGGCTCACACCTGTAATCCCAGCACTTTGGGAGGCCGAGGAGGGTGGATCACAAGGTCAGGAGTTCGAGATCAGCCTGGCCAACATGGTGCAACCCTGTCTCTACTAAAAAATACAAAAATTAGCTGGGCATTGTGGCATGCACCTGTAATCCCAGCTACTCAGGAGGCTGAGGCAGGAGAATTGCTTGAACCTGGGAGGCAGAGGTTGCAGTGAGCCGACATCATGCCACTGCACTCCAGCCTGGGTGACTGAGCAAGACTCCATTTTATATATGTATATCCTAAACCTGGAGTCCTCAACTGGATTAGGCCCACACAGATATTTTCCTGGGCTCAAACAGTGCTTTGAAAAACTATTAGAATTACATCATTAACATCAAACAATTGAGAGATGTCAAACACAAATATTGATTTCTATCTTCTCTTTAAAATTTGCCAGGTCTGAGAAATCCTAGGCACACATCATTTATGCACCCATCACCTTGTGCTGAATGGTGGTTCAAGCCTTCATGAGTATTGCACAAGCCCCAGTTCAACAGCCCATCTACCCATCCCCCGCCCCCAACTCACTGTCTTCTGCACAGTTAGAAGCTAGCTCAGGTTCTAGTCCATGTGCTGCTGTTTTTTCTATTGTAGAGGAGAAAGGAAAATATTTCCTGGATCCATGGCTAACAAATTAATAAGATAAGAAAAAGCATTTTCCTCTAAGTGAAAAGTATCATTTTTTGTTTAATACACAATGTGTGACTACATCAAAAGAATATTACTTAAAATTTCAGTACAAAATCAACCCAGCTCACCAAATTTGGATTTCTCTAATCCTGTGTTCTTCAATAGTGATCAGAACATAAGTCTTCCTTCTTGCTACTTGTACAAAATGACTTCATCAAGTAACATGAGCCAATACAGAATTTGGATTTAGGCGTGGCCTTGATATATATGTTATTATTAGATTTCAAAACTTCAGAAGACATCTCTCATGTAAGAGTAGGACTTCATTTTCTGTGATAATTTTATACCTCTTGTCATTTCCTATAAAAGACCAATGATAATTCACTCAAGATCCATAAATCACATTCTATTGCTATATTTAATGTATTATGTTTGTGTTTTTGCTTGAAGAGATTGGTCCAGTTAGTTTTATTCAGAATAAACACGAACGAAGAAAACATTTGTTAACTGTAGATTAATAATTGTAATTATAGAACCTATAATATAGATTTCTACTACACTAAAGAGATGGAATTTAGATTCAGCATTTTATTTGACATTTGGCTTCTATTTTTCAAAATGATGAATATTATCAGACAATAAAAAGTTTGGGCCATCAGCAGTTAAAATGAAAATAAAGTTCAGATTGTAAGTAGCTGAAAGTGAAGCAAGTTTATAGCTTGCCATGTTTTACTAACTGAACCAAACTAAATATATTTGGCAAGACAATGTACTTGTGGCAAGAAAATGGAAAAAAGCAGTGTGATTACTTGAATAAGGTTGAATTTAGGTCTAATTCCAAGTATTAAAAATAAATGTAAGATAAAATATAATAACTATTATAAAATATAACATTAAAAAGTATAGAAAGATCAGGTTTGGAAATTTGACTATCTCTTTTCCCCACTCTCCATATCATTGTATTATTGTTAGCATCATAAAATTTCATAGTGTTTATGTCTGTCTGTGTAAACATACAAACACAAGATTTCTCCATTGTTATACATGTATGATATTTTTATATACATATATATTTATAAAAAAGAAAAAATATACAGATGCCAAATGTGAGTGTATATATAACTACCTCCTAGTTAACCTGTGTAACCACACCTGTGTAAAAGAAAATATCTATATCCTCAATACACACATATGAAGCTTTTACATATATATAAGTATATACATATATAAGCATATATATAAATATGTATTTATATACATGTAAATTTGTACTCAGGTATTTTTGTGTACATAGCAGTAAGGTTTTCATTAGAAGATGCTGATTAGCTCACTGGAAACTTTCTGGTTTGCAGAATAATATGTTGTCTTTTTATACACAAATTAATTTCCTATGAACATGTGTAGCATAGATTAGCATTAAAAATTAATCTGATAAATACAAGGTGACTTAACTATTAAGTTTCTGCACTTTCAGTGCTGAGAAAACAGAGCTTTAGTCAGGCCTAGCTCAGTAAGTCCCATCCCACTCGCAATCATTTTATTCTAACACCTCCCTGAACATAGCCCATCCAGGGAATAAATGTGACTGGTGGACCTCTTTCTCTGCTGATCCTCCTTACTGATGAAAGGTTTACACCTGCAATAACACTCTCTTGTTTCAAATCCAGGGCCTATCACTTATGAGGGATGGGAGTTGCTGTGAGCTACTGTTGGTTGCCTCATGGGAATGATACTGTTTATTGAGGATTAAGTGAGATCAAGAATATAAAACAGTTAGGACAATATATAGCACATATTAAGTATTCAATGAATGTAAGCTTCTATTGCTGCCTCTCCTATTACCACTATTATAGCTACTACCAATTTAAACAAAATCCTTTTAAACTGAATGATCTTTTAATATCTCTTATAAAATATGTGTTCTTTTTCATTAATCTGGAGATTTCCTAAATGTGTAGATATAAGCATAGTGTTTGCAACTACTTGAAGCCAAAACAATTGAAAGACATTAGCCTACGGATTATGAATGATAAACTGCCATGTGGAGTATTATCTTTTGTTCTTCAGTTCACTGTTTGTAACCAATATTTATGACACAGAGAAGTAGGATTTGTCAGAAATCATTGCAGTACTTCATTTTCAAGCTTAGGCAGTATTTCTTTTACCAGATATGTACTCTGCAGATTCATAGAGCGTTCAAAGCCCATGTGTTACTCTTAATAACTCACAACTGACTGTGTGGCAATATTTTCTCATAAAATATCTCCATTATAAATTATGTATTACTTAAATATCCAGGTTAGGAAGAAAAAAGTTGCTAATAGGGTTGAGGTAATAGTCCAGTAATCCATGAGCATCTGTGGTAGGTTCTGTTTTTATAATTTGGTTGTTTTGAATTAGAATGTATATGGTTTTAAATTAAGCCAGTCATTTTTTATTATTTGACTACAGCCATGATGTAAGCTGAAATGGAAAATAGGAATAGAAAGATAACAAGAAGAAAAGTTGTGACTTGAATTGAAGATTTATTACATATGTTATATGTAGTCCAGCCAACCCAACGTTATGAGCTGGAGATATGAATACTATCCTTAAAGGCAAGATAACTTTTCAAAACTTTAAAATTAATGCCTTGTATAACTTCTCAGTCTGTACTAATTTCATGTGGTTAATAAGGCATGCAGAAGCTAATGTTGTTACTAATGAAAAATTAATTGGGATTAGAAGAAATTTCATTTTCTAAATAATAAAAACTGATTGTCCACCCTATTTTCCTGATTTTAGCCAAGCTTAAGAGATGTATGTGCAACTCTTTTGAATGGCATTTATGACATAACTTGTTTCATTTTCCTGAAATTTGCCCTTGGTTTGTTGTTTGCTGACCCTCAAATTCCAGGAAGGCATTTTCATGTAGGATTTTTTTATTCTATGAGTTCATCAATTTTGAATTTGCTTTATGCAAAACTGTTGACAATGATGTACTTTCTAAAATTTATTTCTGAGATGGAGTCTCACTCTATTTCCCAGGCTGGAGTGCAGTGGCGCAATCTTGACTCACTGCAACCTCCGCCATCCGAGTTCAAGCGATTCTCCTACCTCAGCCTCCCGAGTAGCTGGGATTACAGGCACGTGCCACCACACCTGGCTAATTTTTGTATTTTTAGTGGAGACGGGGTTTCGCCATTTGGCTAGGCTGGTCTGGAACTCCTGACCTCAGGTGATCCACCTGCCTTGGCCTCCCAAAGTGCTGGGATTACAGGTGTGAGCCACCACATCCAGCTGATAATGATGTACTTTAAAAATAGAGTCTAGCAAATTGCCAAAAGGTTATATTTATATTGCCAACTACCTTAGAGGAATTTTCAGGCTTAGATTATAACTAACTCTGTAAAGGCCAGCTGGCTGGTGAGAATGCATAAGGTTCTGCATGACTGGCTTTAATACAGAATGGAGGGCAAGTATACCAATAACTCTCAGAGTGGGATGAAGAGGATGACAGATCTAACAACCTGTATTGATTCCAAAGAAATCAATCAGCATATCATTTTTAGTATTTTTTTCTTTTTTGTTGGTGAAAGAAGAGCTTTCATAAAGGGTCAAGCAATTCTGTATGGCTGTGTCCTCCCTGGACTGCATGGTCATTTTCAAGCAGAGGGTGTGGCAGCGATTTCATGTATGTCTTCCCAATCCTTCACTCAGAAATAAACACCTGAAGGAAAACTAAAATAGTCATTCAGAGCAGGATATGGTGCTTTAAAAATCTTTTTCTTGTGTGAAACATAACTTCTGAACTCCTCTGATTCTGTCATTAACACTTGGTTGGTGAAGTGGTCTCTCTAGCTTCTTTTTCTAGCTTCCCCTCTGTCGTAAGGATGGACCCTTCTCAATTTACATTAGGCCCAGAGTAATGAACACCTAACTGGCTTGCTGCATGGAATCTTTCCCTGCTGCCTGACGCTCTTAGTTCATTCCGTTGTCTCAGAAGATTCAGTCTTCCTTTTTCCATTTCGCAGCTCAACAAAGGAAAAGACTTCATGCCATCCCTATCACTATCAACCAAGTAAATGCAATGCTGTTAGTTGATGTTCAAGATGTCTGATTAAAGGCAGCCAACACCCTCTGGCATGTATTCCACAAGAAGTTCTTTCTTTCATAAAGAAGTTGAATAGGCTGGGTGTGGTGGCTCACGCTTGTAATCCCAGCACTTGTTGGGGGGCCGCGGTGGGTGGATTACGCAGTCAAGAGATCGAGATCATCCTGGCCAACATGGTGAAACCCCGTCTCTACTAAAAATACAAAAAATTAGCCAGGCGTGGTGGCAGGTGGTGTAGTCCCAGCTACTCGAGAGGCTGAGGCAGGAGAATCACTTGAACCCGGGAGGTGGAGGTTGCAGCGAGCCGAGATTGCGCCACTGCATTCCAGCCTGCCGACAGAGCAAGACTCGGTCTCAAAAAAAAAAAAAAAAAAAAAAAAAGTCGTACTTGGGCAGTAGTGTAGAGATTGGTTTGCCTGTTAATGAATTCAAACTAATCTCTACACTGCTGCCCAAGAGCATTCTATATTCAACTTCTTTATCTCTGAGAAATTGCTTATATCTCCCCAACTGTTATTTCCAGAACACTCAGCCAGGGAACACTCAATTAATATTGTTTTATTAATTTTTTTTTTGAGATGGAGTCTTGCTCTGTTATCCAGGCTGGAGTGCAGTGGTGCGATCTCAGCTCGCTGCAATCTCTGCCTCCTGGATTCAAGCGATTCTCCTGCCTCAGCCTCCCGAGTAGCTGGGACAACAGGTGTGCACTACCACACCCAGATAATTTTTGTATTTTTAGTAGAGACGGGGTTTCACCATGTTGGCCAGGCTGGTCTCAAACTCCTGACCTTGAGTGATCCACCCACCTCGGCTTTCCAAAGTGCTGGGATTACAGGCGTAAGCTACTGAACCCAGCCTGTTTTATTAATTTTGACAATAAATGAGATGAATTGTTAAAAACTACATTGAATGCATCTTTTTTTCTTATACATTGTGATTTGGTTATTTGAATTTCACTCATTGTTTTTCAATACTATTCTTCTTTTCCAAAGATATTAAAGATACTTGACTTAAATAAAAGTACATTCAAATTATTATAAAGTTAAGATAGTTTTTACTTAATATCTGCAGCCAGGACTAATAAGTCTATGCAGCTCCCTTAAATACACAAAGTTCATTTCCTCTGTTTTAACAGAAATTAAAAGAAAAACGTAAAATCAGGTTTGTAACCTTTCCAAAAACAAGTTCCCTTTTTTCTTCTCTGATTTTCTGAAGTTGTCTGTACCAAAATGATACTGTTATTTAGGAATGTTGATGTGGTAGGAAACTTCTACTTATGTCTCTAAAAACCAGACCATGATTACGTATCATAAAAATAGATGCAAAACGTGGCTATTCTGGCCACTTGAGGTCAGAGAACTTTGCCATGACTATGTTTAATTACATGTCCATACAACTCAATGACTTATTTTTTCAAAGAACAGACATTTTAATACAAGACAATCAAAATATGAACCTCAGTGGATGAATTAATAGATACCTTATAATCAAAATCTGTCAGCCTCTGAATTAACCCAAAGTTCAGTATTCACATTTTATCAATTATATTACATAGAATTGCCTTGTTTGAAATATTTAGGTATTCTTATGAGAAATACATAATTACTAATTTACACGTATAATTTCTTTTTCTCCTCTAATTTGTTTTAACAAGTATGAGAGGTAAATTTAGCTAAAAATTATGTATATGGATGAAGAAATTCTCTTAGAGGAACTCTAAAACTAATTGAATCATACTTGATATATTTGTTCTTTTCAACAATTCAGTTTTTTAATGCATATTTCATTAGGGTACCATCAATGTGTTTTCCTGAAGCCTAATTACACAAAAAATTATCACATATTTTCCCTCCTTCGGGTCCAGACAGAGCTGTTATTGAGCTCCAGGCCTAGTTGCTGTTTTTGCTCAAAGAGATTTTCAATGTCCAATGGCATCTCAAAGTAAACCTTGGACCCTAAATTTTTTGTCCAATAACATATCCTGATTGTCTGTGGTCTCTTAAGACTATCTAATTCATTAAGACATTTTTTTCACCCAAGAAATTAAACAAATGTTAAATTTTCTCAGCGAATTTCATATTTTCGTGAAATTTTTACAATGGCTTGAGCAGTTTAAGAAGAAAAAAACCTTTTTGATGCTTTGCATTTTATTTGCTGGGAAATTACCTAGGCAAAGAAACTTATTGTTCCATTTTATGAACTTTACAATTCACTTAGCTGTCAAAGTTATTTCCGGTAACCCAAGAAAGAACTTGATACCACTTTTTATGATGACAGGACTTAAAGATGACATTTATTCCAATAAGAATCGTCATTTGAAAATACTATGTTATTTCCCTCAGGTCTCTGCTCAAATTCTACTTTATTTGTGAGCTTGTCCCTGATTATTCAAAATTAAGCTCAGTCCCCGCTCTCCTCTCAATTCACTTTTCTCCTGGAGCTCTTTGTCTTTACCTTGCTGAATTTTTGGTAACACTTCTTGCTACTAGACATATTGTATGGTTAGTAAGTATAATATTTGCTTATTTCCTGTTTCTTTCCACTAGAGTATAAGCTCTTTAAGGACTAAATCTTTTCTGTCTGTTAACACTTATATTTCTAACATTGATATGGTGCCTAAGATATAGAAGGTAGTCAATAATGTGTTGAATAAATAAAAATAAATATATTAAGCATTTGTGATGTGACTTGGGCTTTATAAACTAAATTTTTCACAGGCACTTGTGTAAAAGGTAGGTTTGTAGACTGGTTTATACTCTAATATTTCATTTGTAAAATGGAATGGAAACTTATCTGTGTAGAAGAGATACTAGATGCTAGCTAGATCTGTTTGAAATCTTTTCAGAGCCAAGGTGGCTATTTAAATATGGTGGCAATACTCTGATTTTATTTCCTCATTTCCCTTTTAGTTCATGTGGCTACAGTGAAGACCCACTATGTCCTAGATCCCTTGCTAGGTGTAAGGGGTACAGCTATGAACAACACATAGATACCCTGCTTCAGTGGAGAGTAGCCTAGCTATTAAAGCAAAAATTAGGAATAAATATGATGAGTGTCTTTACAAGTAAATGCCCTTTTAAATTGAGCACATATTAGGTGCTCAAAAATCATTGTTAAATAAATCAGTAAATAAATTTGTAAAGAGGCTGTATATCAAAACTCAAATCCTGACACTTACTTCTAGAAGTCTATTTCATAGACTCACCTCTTAAAATATCTCAGTGACTAAAAGGATTTGGAGTAAATAGTCTAAAAGCATACTCATAGGTTCTAACCACAAAATACTTCCATCTTCCCACAAATTACTAAAGGAAGGAAAATTCTCATGTGAAATTAGACAAGACTGTTTCTTTCAGAAATAAAAGTATTCAGGAATGTGTTTGTCCGTTGCCCTATCACCACAATCCAGGGCAGTGTCTGGCATGGAGAAGACAGAAAACGCATTTTTGTTGAATCAAACTGAAGGAATATAAGGAGGGAAAAAGATTTTAGTTCTATGGCCAAAAAGATTTCTAGAATATCACAATACAGACATTTTTAGCTAACTATTAATTTATTTCATCTTCCTTTGCTTCAAGGTCACATATGCTCATATAATTTATAACTGCTGCAGGCAGAACCATTAAGAGAGCACAATTTCAAACAAGTGTAAGCCACATGAGGGCATAAACTTTATATTACGGTAAACCTCCCACCACACAGTCTTTAATGTAGCTGCATAATATGTGTATTTGGTAAATGGCTGAATTATAATCCAACCTCTTCCCCTAAATCTTAACATGGATGAAGTTTAAATGGATGTATGATACAGATAAGTTGCTCTTCAATTCCTAATTTGAAAATGATTTCCTAAATCATACACTATAACTTGTCCCTTTTGAAATCAAATAGGTGATTTACAAAAGTAAATGTCACCTAGTACCTAGTAGCTTTTGCACGTAAAAGAGAGATTTTAAAAGATGAGAAAAAAGGAAATTTGACATAAAATTATTATTTTATTTACACCATTTTCTCTTCATTTCTGAATAATTCAAGGAATGTCCCAGAATCATCTCTCAAAATAGAAGCTTGAAAAATCCTCATTGAAAAATCAGTTTTCAAACATTTTACATATTTCATATTGAAAAACATGGATTTTCAGATTTCTTTAGCAAATCATTTATGGGCTGGGCCCCTTTTAGTGAAATGTAAGGAGTTTTTCCTGCCAATTTATAAAAGCATAGAAAAACAGGCTGAAGACACAGCTGACAGCCTTTCGGCTTTAGTATCGCTAGCCATCTGTTTTCTATAAGGTAGTTGTTTTTTCTTGTTAAGTTCCCCGTGTGAAATGTTTTTCTTTTTTTTTTTATTTTTGGTTTGTGAATTCTACCCAGTGATAAAACTCACCAGGGGACCATAAAGGCACAAATGGAATCTGGGAGAACTTTGAGACTTCTTATATTCACACCAGAATCTCACTTTACTAATCTAAATCAGAGACTTTTTTCCATGGAGATTTGTTACCGAAATACCAGAGTCCTAATTGATTAAAGCAATTTTAATTCAAGAGGGTTTTTGCCTTACAACAGATGATTATTGAGAGAGATTTCAGGTTTATGATAGTTTTCGGTGATAAACTTTCCTAAGGACGCAAGTGCCCCATTTAGCTTTTCTCTGTTATTATAAGGAAGAAGCAGAAGATATAGTCTTCTCTAACAGCTGGACGTAAGGAAGGAAAGGTGCCTAATTGGGAATGATCATTCTAAAGAACAACAGTTTTCTTGTTGCACATCATTGGAATGCTTATTGTGAGGACGATAGTAATTATTTCTGAATCTGGCATCAAAATACTAGAGATGCTTCTAAAAAATACAAGTTTCCAGTTTCAAAACAAAATCAGAGTCACTAGAAGTAGGGCCTAGGAATCAGTATTTTAAAAAATTCTCTGAGCGATTCTGATGCAAAGCCAGGTTTGAGGAGCACCAACTTAAAAGAAAATCAAGGCTGAAATTAAAAAGAAAAAAACAAAAAACAACAAACTCTTCAATATGAGGGATACACAGCATTTAAAATCACAAACTACATATAATTTTTATGAAACTGATTTTGGATAAAATATTTGAATTACAGAAGAGCTGAAAGATCATAAATATATGGTTACAAAAATAACCTGAAGCTTTGGATGGCTTGGAAAGATAATTACTGGGATTTGCCTCCCAATTCTGCAAGCAAAATACCACCTACTTTTTACAAACATAACTAGCAAGGTATGTATGGGTTATATTGGCAGAAGTCACAAAACATACTTCAATGGCTTAAAATGCCTCTTGTCAAGGTGCCTTATAATTAGCTTCAAAAGCCTTCCAGCTGTGATTCCATTAAATACAGGTGTATTGCTGTGGGCAGCTACATCAGGTACTGTGGCATTAATAGGCTCAACTAATTGCTGCAGTGGATTTGTGCAGTATTATATGCTTACTCAGAAAAATTTATCTTGCCCTCTTTCCTACACTTACCATTTCTGTTCTTGAAATCTGAGTGCACTTCTGTTTTATGACCTTATTTATATAGACAGACTTGACCTCAGGGCGTTTTGTGGAAGAAGCAGCACTCCTTCACTGTGATCATAGCCTTATATAAATGGATTTTTGTCAATATAATGTAGATTTTTCTCTCCTGCTGCATCCTACTCCAGATTCTGATAGGCCCTATAAGGAGGAGACAGGTGAGCATGACTCTACATTTGATACACATGTAAATGGATTTGAATCAGGCAAGAGAAATCTGGGAACCTCTGTGCTAAATAATAATGGTTTGTGTCTAAATAACACATACTTATTTTTCAAAGCACTCTCACATCTATTTGATTCTCAGAACAACCTTGGGAAGGGGGTATATTATCCCTATTTTTTAGGTGAAAATACATGACAATCAAAGAAATTGTAATTTGTCAAGTGTTACATAGCAAGTAGTTTTCAGTGTTGGTGTGAAAAAGTAAAATAAATAAAAAAGCCTAGGTTTTCTGAACTACTCAATTTCCATTCCTCCTGCATCGTTTTGCCTCTTAAGGGTTTCCAGTGAGTAGATTAAGAGCCAAAATACATCTGAAAGGCTATTAGTTAGAGCTGCAAATTTGCTTTCTCTTCCTCCATTTCTTCTCATTCTTTTGATTTGGGTTGGCAAAATCCTACTCACTCTGAAGATGAAGCCAAAGAAAGAAGACTGAAGGCCATCAGAAATCTGTGGTCCAGACACCTGATGCTGCCATTTTTTCCAACCCTGTCCCTTTTTAACCACTCAATTTTGCTTTCCTTTTTTTTGTCTCTTCTCTTTCCCTGCCTTTTAACTGTATTGAATTACAAATCGTTTCTGGATAAATTCTACTTCTTTCTCAATTCTCAGTTCATACATCACTTCCACAAGAAAAGGTATCCCAATCCCCCTACAATGGCTAAGCAATGCTTGTACACACTCCCTAAGCACTCTGAATTTATTTCTGTAAGTTGCTTATCGTTTTGCACTTTAGTTCCTTGGTTATCTGATTGTCTTCCTAATTAGGATATAGCTACTTGGAGTTAGAGGGATTTCTTTTGTTTTGTTCAGTTTTGGCACCTAAAGAAGAAATGGCACATAATAGGTACTCAGTATTTGTTGGGTGGAAAACTATTGTCTCTGCTCATGGCCTTAGCATTCCATGCAGTGCAGTATTTCTGTGGATATTTCTTTGGAGACCCAAGTCTGTTTCCTCACCCTGCCAAGACTACTTCAAATCCCCTACATGGCACACTGGACTGCATATATTTCATTTACTAAATGTGGCCATTTTTGTTATGCTGTTATTAGTCCCTTGGTTTGGAATGCATTTTATTATTATAATGCTACCTCTGTAGGGGAAATTAAATTTGACTTACATGCTTTACTAAAAAGCCTAATTTATTCTTCCTGAGTTTTAGAAGCCAAAGAGCTGATTTCCTCTTTCCTCTTAAGAAATTCTGCAGAATGTTCCACTTGATGTGCTCTAAGTGCCTTGTCACTTTTCTTGAAATTCATTCTTGTTTAGCACTATGAAAAGAAATAAAAAAACTTATTTTTAATAACTTTAAGAAAAAGAAATAATTTCTTTTGGTAATAAACACTAGATATTAACATTTTAAAATAAAAATATTACTTTGGGTTTAATCACAACTTAAAGAAATTTTCCATAAACTCTTCTCATTACACAAAATATTACCATTGGAAAGAATCCACATATACTGACTTTTAGGTAATATGCATTTTGCTACTTTATCATATTGGTTTTTTTCTTTACTAACATTTCTAATATTTAAATCTTAAGATGAACAAGCTGAATGATTGTTAAGTGAAATTAATCTCTAATAAATTTAAGTATAACATAGTTCCTGTGTAAAAATCAATTTTTAAATTTCTGAAAACTTTAGAACACATATAGTGGAGTTTGTAATTTATCATATGTAGGCTGGTATAAAGTAGTATAAAGTCATGGCTGGGAGAGGGTTATTGTTGCAGATTTCATATTCCTGTAAGTTTTGACTAAACTCTTCACCTATCCGTCTATAGTTAAAGGAATCCAAAGCCTGGATCCCATAAGAAATAAGCAACTTTCTCTTAATTTTATGAGATGAGGAAGAATCATGTTGAATACAGTTGTCTCTCAAACAATATGGGGGTTATGGGCGCCAATAACCTGTGCAGTTGAAAATCCACATACAACTTTCAACTTCCCCCAAAATTAACTACTAATAGCCTACTGTTGACTGGAAACCTTACCTGTAACATAAACAGATGATTAACATGTATTTTATATGTTGTTTGTGTTATATACTGTATTCTTACAATAAATGAAGCTAGAAAAAGGAAGATGTTCTTAAGAAAATCATATGGAAGGGAAAATATATTTATGATTTATTAAGTGGATGTGGATCATCATAAATGTAGTCATTCTTATTATCTTCATTTTGAGTAGGCTGAAAAGGAGGAGAAAGAGAAGGGGTTTGTCTAGGGGTGGCAGAGGTGGGAGGAAATCCCCTTATAAGTGGACCCATGCAGTTCAAACCTGTGTTGCTCAAGATTCAACTGTATGTGAATACTGCTGTATGTGCAATTTGGTGTGGATATGCAGAATAATTTTGTCTATGCCTTAGAATTCCTAATTCCCAGGGAAGTCATTGGTAAATGCAGCTGGACATAAAATAATGCCTCTAAATCTACTTAACTGTTTTATTTACCAATTCAGATACTGTGAATGGCCTTATTCCCTTATGGTTGAACCTCTACAACATCAGAGAAGTTTCTATTGGTGGATACATACCTTGAGTTTCTTTTTGTATCTAGCACATCTTGTCATCTCATTTGATAATATGGTCCAGTCATGAAAAGTTTGGTTGAGTTCATAATAAATCCCATAGTTCTTTATACTTGATATTTAGCCCGTAAAATTCCATTAAATAATTTTTAGTCATTGCTATTCCATTAACACTATAAGAATATCCAGATTCACTCAGTTATCTGCCATTAAATCAGTATGCAAATGGATCATACTTAGAATTTTTTATTAGATCATATGCTTTTATTGCTATAAAACAAAGTGAGCAATTACATTTATTTCATTATTTGCTTTTATTTCTAATCCTTATTGCCAGTTGAATCTATTGTGACTAACCTGACCGTTACTAAACAGGAAAAAAATTGAAGTTATAAGTTGGTCCTGGTAGGAAGATTCCATTTTCAAATCTATAGCAAAGATTAAATTAAAAAAAAAAAAAAGAAAACACAGTTAAGAACTTTTTAAAATACTAGTTCAGACTTCAGAAAAATGAAAGAAAATGAAAACATGAATGTAATGTAATTTAAAAAGCAGAAGTTGATAGTTTTCTTTAAATTGCATTTTATAATGTTGAATTTTATTGAATTTTTCCTCAGTGACTTTTTTATCATCCCCTGTTTAGTTTAAGTGAAATAGCAAGCATGGTGCATTCTGTTTGCTGAACGGAGTCATGTTTATATAATGCAAGCTGAATATTCTGGGGAAAAATTTCATTTCCTGCGCCCTATAAACTAATCTAAACAGAACTAAATAATAGTTGGTATGCAATCATTTACTATCCCTACTCATTAAAATACCTGAAAGACTTATTCATGTCATGGAGATAGTCTTTCCCCCATCAATATCCTGTGAGGCCTCAGAAAAGCTAGGGGGAATTTCACCGGATATTAGCATGGTAACATTTGGTGGCTACACAGGCGGAACACCAGGAAATGAAATTTCCTCCATTTAGAGTTGGGAAATGAATAGAAAGAATGGGGTTCGCAATCTTAGTATATTTTAATTGCTTCTTGTTCTCACACATTTTCTTTTAAAACACCCTTCTTAATCGCTTCCTTTTCTCATCTCTAAGGTAAACCATGCTTTACCTGTTTTTTCTTTAACCCAGGCTTCTATTGCTCTTCATTCTTCACAGGAGCTCTATTTGTCACTTTTCCACTCTCTTAGTCAAAATCCACATTTAGAGTGTGACTTAAGACTTTTGTACATGTAAATGTGCCATCCCCTTATCTTTTCTCTAACATAGCAATCTGGTTGTCTAACACAATGTATAATAGTTATGGGCGTATATTTTTTTTAAATATTGGCTCTGCCACTCACTAGCTTTGTGATCATGATTGACCCCAAGCCTCTACCAGGATGGTTGTTAGGACTATGTGGAAAATTTTTATCACTCACTTAACATAACTTTTAGAACACAATTAATAGCTGCCATTAATATTTCTACTGGGTTATTCTTCCTTAAGATTCACTCCAACATGCCTTAAATAGAGTTTAGGATTTTTAAAATAAAATTTGTTTATCTCTCCAAAACTTTTATTTCATTCGATGTCTAGACCATACACCTGTGTTACTTTCCTAGGGGTGCTTGATAACAAAGTACCACAAACTGGGTGGCTTATGACAACAGAAATGAGTGTCTGAGTCTCTGTATCTATTCCCCTCTTCCCTCCTTATAAGGACACCAGTCATATTGGATTAAGGGCCCATCATATTCCAGTATGACCTCATCTTAACTAATTAGGTCATCTTCAATGACCTTATTTACAAATAATGTCACATTCTGAAGTACAGAGGATTAGGAATTCAGTATATCTTTTAGCAGGGCACAATTTAACCCAAAGTACCCAGTAGATATTTCTTCCTCCATTCATTTCTGAGACTCTGAAATTATCTTTAAAAATTTTTAGGCCTGGCGCAGTGGCTCATGCCTGTAATCCCAGCACTTTGGGAGGCCGAGGTGGGTGGATCACTTGAGGTCAGCAGTTTGAGACCAGCCTGACCAACGTGGTGAAACCTTGTCTCTACTAAAAATACAAAATTAGCTTGGCGTGATGGCACATGCCTGTAATCCCAGCTACTCGGGAGGTTGAGGTGGGAGAATCACTTGAACCCAGGAGGCGAAGGTTGCGGTGAGCCAAGATTGTGCCATTGCACTCCAGCCTGGGCAACAAGAGCAAAACTCCATCTCAAAAAAAAAAAATTAAATACTTTATCCCACCCAAACTTCATCAAACCCTTCGTATTTTCTACCTAGTGTCTCGTGGCTTTACCTCTGTTCTCATAACTACTGTTTCTCCTAACTCCAGTATAACATTTTCCACTAGTGGCCTTTGGTCTCATTTATTTCTGATTTATCTTTAATTAGGTAGTTACGTTAATATTCCTGAAAGCTTCTTATACATTCTTTTATTTATTACCTTTTTTCATTTATTCAGCAAGCATTTCATGTATCAGGCACTTTAATACACTCATGATATAGAGAGAAATTAAATATTTTTCATTCTCAAGAAATGTACAGCCCAGTAGAGTTTACATGCAAACAAACCAATAAGTGTAATAGAATGTTGCAGGTATTTGCCAGGTGTACGGATAAGGTGAGATGAGAGCAAGAGAAGAGAATGACCAAATTCCATGTGGGCATGTCGTTAAAACTTTCCTAGTGGAAGAGGTATCACATGTACCAAGTATTCTCATCACCTCCTTTTTTTGATAAATTAAACCATCCCCTCCTGAAGCTATGTATATGACATGTTTTCCTCCCTCTCTATTCCTGTTTTAGGTGGTTCCCTGCCTCTTTCCCAGGCAGAGTTTTCCTTACCCCCACCACCTCAAATACCTTCTATTTTTTCAAGGCCTGCTTAAGAACCCACTTCTACTCACCCTTTCTCAGATAATTTCAGCTTATAGTGATACCATCTTTTCAGATTTCTTATTTGTAATTCTCAAACCTCGTATCTTATATAAACTATTTGCTACCTCAACTAATTGTGGTCATTGAAGAAACAACTGGATAGAAGATACTTTACATTTTGAATGTTCTTAGTAAATATTTGTTAAAAGAGTGACTTTATAAACTTTCCTCTAAGCTCCTCTGGAGTAGCTTGTGTATCTTTAACTTTTGTATCTTTCTTCCATGGTATATAGTCAGGCATACAGTAAGTAGACTCAATAAATACTTAAGTAATCTATGAAAATGAGTATAAGTGGATGTGCTAAGTATAAGTAAAATAAACTTTTAGTATGGGTATTTAATATCTTACTTCACAGTGTTTTCTAAATTACAAAAGTCAGCTTCTTTCAAACTAGACATTATACTATTTTTTTGACTTCCTAAAATGTCAAAACACAATAATCCAGAATTCTGTATCTACAATTGAAGAAAGACTGTGGAATTGGACCTAGAAAAATGCTTTTTTTTTTTTTTTTTTTTTTTGAGACGGAGTCTCACTCTGTCACCCAGGCTGGAGTGCAGTGGTGCAATTTCGGCTCACTGCAAGCTCTGCCTCCCAGGTTCATGCCATTCTCCTGAAAAATGCTTTTATAGTTTGTCCCAGTGTGGCTAGAGTGAGTTAGTCATCGGCAACAAATGGTTCCTGCCATGTTGCTGTGCACCACTGTCTTGGCTTCTGGACTGCTGGCCCGCACCACCGCAAGAGCCCCACCCCTCCTCCAAGGCACCTTCCCATGGACATACCAGTTGGTTTAGAAACAAGAGTGCTGTTGTTTTACCCTCAGTCAAAGGAAGAGATGGTAAAGAAATTAAAATCAGAGTCATGGTTGAGAGGGAGTACCTGGTCTCCTTCAGATCCATCCTGGCCAGTTGGTAGAGAGAAGGAATCTGTTGCCAATTACCAGGAAGGAGCCAGGAGTAACAATATTATACACCTTGGAAATGAATTTTTGGAAAAAACTGCTTTGGATTTTAATTTTCTCACTTGAAAAAAAAGCAACCCCCAAAACAATAAATTAAAGAAAGGAAATAAGGAAGTTAAAGAACTCAAATCCCAGATTTCTTTTGACTTCTCTGACCTCCAGCCTAGATGATATGCCCTTCCTACATGTTCCCACAACAACCAAGATTTGCCTATAATTTTGTATTTAAAGAATTATGTTCTAATAATCTGTTACTGCACTGGTTCTCTCAGTAGTCTGTAAACTCCGTAAAGGTAGAGAGGAATTCATTACTTTAACTGTATTCCCAGTGCTTGGCAAAATAACAGATAAATATTTGTTGAATAAATAAACAATATTATCAAAATGCATACATTATGTTATTTTGATGTTTGCTTCAAGAATAAGTGTATTTATTTTATGATTTAAACACATTCTTAATGCCAAAGGTGTTGGAAGACTAAAACATACAGGGAGGACTGAAACTCACACAGAGGATCTCTAAACTGTGGCCTTAGCCATTATTATGGCTGGTATATTCTGAGGGATCATTGAATGATTTGCATTTATGGGTTTCCACTTTCTCTCTGCTATGTATCCAGACTGTCTTGGTGTCTAAGGGTTTAAAATATGTTTCATTATCAAATAGGACACCAAAGGAGAATCAATAGATGATATACTCATAAGTGAATGTAATGTTATTCTGTATTCTGTTCACCCTTACTAATTTGAAGTTTGCTTTTATAAACAGAATTTTATATTTCCATAATGATTGAAGATTGTTTTTGTTTTGGATTCTAGGAAATCCTCAGGTTGATGTTCCCCAGACTTAGTTGTAGTTAATGAAAATAAACAGCATTAGACAAAACCTCTCAAAACACAGAGGAAGATTTCCAAGATAAGGACCAATAATTCAAAAGGCCCCAGGATACATATAGGTTAGAGAAATGAAAAAATAGAATGAGTTTATGAAGTTTCAGTGTGTATGTAATTTTTCCAGAATGCACTAGTGAAATACACATATGAGCAAAATCATTCTACAAAAAATTCATTATCTTTTGCAGCTTCTGTATATTTTGGTTGTTTTTGGCAAGGAAGTTGAACTCCAAATGTCTCATTCTCTGATCCAAAGTTTTCTTTTGTACTAAACAAGTATTTAATAAAATTGTTATTATATTTGCTAGATAAATAACTATCGATTAAATGGATTAACTAATGCCTCTATTCCTTTTTCCAGATTGACAAATTTAGGATGAGCTTTCAAACACACTTTAAAGCAAACTTCTTTATGACATCTTTAAATATTTCTTATCTGCAAAAGTAAAGGCTCATGTTTTATCTTTTTCTATATGTTAACAAGTAGAAAAACTGAGGCACACTTTTCATTTATTAATTTAGTAATAACCAGTTGACTAGTAAACAACTTAGTTAATCTTTTGTCCAAACTAAATTTTATACTCCTTAGTTTAGGAAATGTTATATATTTTTCTCCTCTGATCTCAGCATGTGCTAATGACTGTATTAGCAAGAAATAAGTATTCTGTAGTTACTTGGAATTAAGCAAATTTTTGAAAGATTTTAGAAACTTTAAATCTTTCCACAGGTATTTAAAGAAAATGACAAGAGTATTGTTTTCCTTTATAGATATTTTATTCGTAGTCACCATGTTTAAATAAATTAAAATGTGAATTATACAATAATGATAAAATTCAGAATTTAAAAAACTGAATGAATAACATTAAGTAATAATCTAAAACTTTTGAAATTCTAATAAAGTTTGCCCATGTTTACTTGTTAAGGAAAATAGCAACTTCTCCTTAGAAGCACATGGATTTGTAGGTGAAAAATCTCCGATTCATTCTTTGTATTTTCCCTAATAGGATAAAGAAGTATCTTCAGGTTAATTCTGTTGTTTTCTAAAGAAACTTGTAAAACCTCCTTCTTGATGTAGTAAAGTTACATGGAAAGAAGATGATTGTCTCATCCTCCTTCCTCTACCCCTCTCCCTCCTTCCTCTCTTCATCCTCCTTGTCTGTTTGCTTTTCTTGTCTTTTGTTCTCCCTACAAGTAGAGAAATTACCCAATGAAGAGCTTTGCTGTGCATCTAAAAAGTTATTGATATAACTTTCCAATAAAGGCAACAACTCTTTTTCTCATACCAAGTATGACTATGGCATTTGGCTGGTTTTGAGATTCAGAGCATATTGAGTTTTGATCTTAAACATGCAATAAATAAATTGGCTTCCATGCAATTATGCACATTATAAGGGATAAACTAAATATGAAGATTAAGAGATGAATTTAGGTTCTGAAATAACAATTACAGTTTTTTTTTTAAAGATTCTATTACCTGTTCTGGAAGTGACTTGGAAAGGAATGCCAGAAAGAAGAGTAAAATCTAGTTTTAGTTTTGTTCTTCAGCAAAATCACTTACTTTTTTAATAGCTAGAAAATAGATGTAAATTAAATCTGTGTAAAGCAGAACAAAACTGAATACTAATTCAAGTCACTAGATATTTCCAAGAGGATAAAATTAGAAATTGGCCTTTGGGATGACAGCACTAGTCTCCTTTCACCCATGCCTCCAGAACTGAGCTCCAGAGGGAATAATGCAGAAAGAGGCATCCCTTTAAATTCCTATTAGAAATTTTCTTCAAAATATTTTAGAATCCTTGGTACTGAAATGAATGGGATCAAAGAGCCATTGAGAACTGTGGAATGTTTGGTGGATTGTAAAAGAAATTTCAACTTGCTCAAGGCAAGGGCAGAGAATAAAGAATGAATTGGAAGAAATAAGCTGACTACAATGTCTGGATTTTCTCTAGAGGCCCTAAATATTCTTCTGTATCAGGGAAAATTGAAAAAGGAGGCAAAATGCAGCTGCAAAGACATAATAAAATACAGAGTTAAATTGATTCTAAAATGTTTTATGTAAAATATTTAATTTTATACTCATTGAGTATACAATAATGAATATTCTCTTAAAATACAATAATAATTATTTTCAATTACAAAAATGAGTAAAAATATATGTTCTTTTTAGGATATAATGTCAGGAATAAATGATAATACATCATATTCCTATAATTCATGGTATTTTAAAGCTTTGTAGGTTTGGCCCACATTTAAATAAGCAGCTAAAATGGCGCTTCTCTAAAAATCAGGTAATAGCCCAGGGTTGAAGCATATCATTTTGTATTCAATATGGCCTAGATCTCTTACTTGGTATTCTTAACAATTGACTTTAGATATAAAAATCCCTTTTTATATACAAAAGAATATTATGAAATGACTTTACCATATAAAGCTTCTTAAGCAAACAACTAATATTCAATAAATTAATTCAACAAATACTTCTTGAGCATTTACTATGATCCTGACACTATTCTAGGATATCAGAATATATCAACAAAGGAAGCAAAATAAATTATATGTGTTCTCACAGAGCTATAATTCTATCATGGGGTGACAAACAATAAACATAATAAATTCAATATATAGTAGGCTTGAAAGTGGTAACTACTACATTAAAAGAAAAAAAAAAAAGAGTAAGAATTAGTGAATTGAGAGTGTTATGGTTGTATGTGTGTGTAGTCATGTGCAATTTTTTTGGTAAGGTGACCAGAGTAGGTAACATTTGAGCTAAGACCAGAAGGAGATGAAGGAAATCTGGAATGTGGATACTATATATTACTGAATATTTACTTCTCCTTTGAAAGAGAAACAGTTAAGCAGATTTTTGTCTCTCCTGTTGATCTCAAGCAATATTAGGCTAGGAGAGATTAAGTAGACATCATTCAGAACACTTACAAATGTTTCATGTATTTAGGTAGGCAGACACATTTGGCATAGCTCTGTACCAAACTTATTCACTGAGGATTAATATTTAAGATTAGAACTAAGGTTGGCTATAAAAATTACTGCTGAAATTTCTAGTGTATAGATTATAGAGTTGGCTCAATTCTCTTTGTGCTGTTTTGCAGCTATTTAGTAGTTTGAGGTATGTGGGAAAAAAAATCTATGTCAAATGCATTAGCAGACTGAAATCTGCTCTTCCAGACAGAACTGTAGATGAGCATTGCATGTGCAGTATGTGTAGTTTTAGTTTCACGTTTTGGCCACAGTCATTTAGATTTCCCAATGATACATGGAAAAAAACTTAAGTATACCTAATATGAGAGTTTTTCCTTTCTATTTTTTCCATTTTAAGTAAAGTAAAAACAGCAGTTTTACTAGTTAACTGAAAAACTTTGCTTATGAGATTGGAAAACATTTAATGGTTGCACTGAAGAAACCAACCACCTTCACAGACAGTTTATCAAATTTTTTAAATTCATATGCTCACTGAAATGCATTGAAATGAAGCTTTCTATGAGTCATCTCCTTTTCAATTTTTCAGATTTCAAGGAAAATTTTCAAAATTGTCATTATATTGCTTTAGAATATAAAACATGATTGTCCTTAGTGGAACAAAAATTTAACTCAGCTCAAATAATTATTGAATGCCTACTCTTGTTCAGTTGGTACAAGGAAAAAAGGAGCAGGGCACAGAAAAAGTAATAATTTGGATAACTATCCTAAAACCAGATTTAAGCTTGCGGGGCTCACTAGAAAGTAAAAGTCTTTGCAGTGGATTGAAGAACAGAAGATGTAAAACCCCATAGGCCTACCCCATACATACTTATCCTCCCACCATCCCATAGATCTTGAGGCTGAGATAGAAAAAAATTGTCAAAGTATGTAATAGATCCCCCTCAGGTATCCCTGGTGGCTTCATATGTATCTAACTTTTCAAATTTGGGAGTTGTTTAAGGAAAGCAAAATGAGGAATGTGGAATTTTTGGCATCTCCTCTGCATGGTCTAAAGAAGGAATTGAATGCTGTCCCTCTTCGTCTTTCCCTTCTAATGATAAACAGTGCCCTAGAGCAGAAGGAAGGGAAGGATTTCCTTGGTAGGTTCTCTGGAACCCCATCCAGGAGCCCACGCTCTGCTGTGCATTACTAAAGGCAGCATCTGTGGCATCCAGACTGACACGTGGGCGGCTTTATTACCTCCTCCTTTGTCCCACAAGGCATTCTCTCTCCACTTCATGAGGCCACCAGCTGACAGTGTCATGATTATAGTCCCTCAAGGACCTTTACAGTCAGAGAAACTTTAAGTAATGGTAGCCCAGATCTTCACAATCCCAAAAGGGACCTAAATCTGCTGGGTCAGGAAGGCTGAAGGGTTGCTGTAGCTTTCTGAAGGTTGTTCTAAAATATGAACTGTTGTGACTGACACAGTCTTCTTCCTTTCTGGTCACACAGAGGCCTGAATGTCAGGGACACACCTGGTAAGAACCACCAAGTGACCATTCCCTTTCATTCAAAAAAGGGTTCCTAAGAGCACATCCTCTCTGGAAAGATTAGGGAAGGAGGAAAGAGAGCTAAAAGTGCTTATCTTTTTAATAGGCATATCAATGAACTAGTTCCTTACTTTCCTCATTCACATCTGCATTCATCAATGCTACACATACGTTTATCAAAGACGGATTATATAACATTAAATGTGAAGGTTGCTGAGGTAAACACAGTTCTGGCTGTCGAGGAGCTCACAGTCTCACAGCTCACAGGGGAAAATGATCAGCACAAACCTGTGTCTGAATAAGAGATTTAAAATTTTTATAACACGTGTGTGCTGTGTATTATTTCTGCTTGAAAGAACTTTAGTTAATGGCTAGAGAATATCTAACATAATTTTAGGGACTTTTATTTCATATATTTTTCAAAGCCTGTAAGTAGACTCCAATAATTTAATATGCAAATACAGTCGTCTCTCTTGGCCAGTCCAAGGTTTCAATATGGCCGTTTCTATGCAGGCTTTTTTTTTTTCCCCCACAGGTGTAATTGTGTGAAAAAATGTGGATGCAGGGCATACCATATAGTTGGCAAGCTGCAATTGTGATAATTTAGTTTCTAATTGTTATAATAAGATGGTGGATTTGGTCTGCCATCTAGTGATTAAGAACTGAATTCTTACAACTAAATTTAAAAGCACTTAAGATTTATGAGAAGAGAAATCTATGAGGATATATGAGAAACAGAAAAATTGAGTTGATTTCAAATAAAATGTGATCAGATAAAATATATCTCTTTTCTGTAATATATCAGTGCCACAATTGTTGTGGGAATGACTTCACAATGGATTCAATTTATTGGAACATTTGGTGAGGGTAAAAGAATCTTGTAGGTTGGGAGATAAACATGAAAATTACAAAATAGTGATGGTATTATCAGATTTCTACCAGTCCTAATCAATTTTAGGAAAGTTAAACATAAACAGCAAAAAATACAAGTAATGCAAAATTATAGTTTTGGCGTTCTTTTTTAGATTATATAAAAATATTTATCTAATTTTTAAATTTAAATTTTATTTTTATTTTAAGTTCCAGGGTTTATGTGGAGGATGTGCAGGTTTGTTACATAGGTAAACGTGTGCCATTGTGGTTTGCTGCACCCATCAGCCCATCACCTAGGTATTAAGCCCAGCATGCATTAACTATTTTTTTCTAATTTTTACTAATGCTCTCCCTCCCGCAACCCCACCCTACTCCCTGACCGGCCCCAATATCCAGGTATTTTAAGAAACATTTTTTTTTTTTTTTTTTAAGTCCTGGGCCTTGAATCTAAGCTTTGGACGTCAGCTTGGGTTAATTTTATGATTTGGATAGAGAAATCAGGAGGACAGAATTGAATTTCTCAGAATGTCATTTGAAAATTTTTGTTATTTTATACTGTGTTGTCATTTATAAAATAATTCTATTATGACAACTTTACTGCAATATTTTTCAACAAATTGGCTGCAATTTTGCTTTCTATTTTACTTTTCTTTTCGTTTAAGTAAATGTCTGTGTAGAAAACAGAAGGGACAACTTAATCATATGGTGTACAACTACCATGTAGATCCGTGAAAACTGCAAGACACCCTGTATTTTCTACCCACTGTTTCTTTGTACATGTCTTTCATTCAGACATGGACAATGAGAGTTCACTGAGTTTTTGAGCCCTCTGTGATGTGTATGGATTCTTGTCTGAGTGAAGAGAAGACAAGGTTTAACAGTGAATGTGGTTTTTCGTCTCCTTGCTATTTAAAAGCATTCCAACTAACTTTCCACATCATCTTAAATTTAATTATAAATTCTCAGGAGAAGGGAAGCCATGATGACTCAGAGTATAAAACTAACCTTTAACATTATCATTTAAAGAAAGTAATCCAGTGGCCCACTTCTTTGCCCCTTGAGTTGAAGTTATGTTGTCTTAAACTTTCAGAAAGAAACTGCTCTTCTAGGTGTTAACACAAGACTGAGACAATGTGTCTTTTTATTCCAACCCTAAAGGAGCCACAAGGAAGAAGATAAGCTACTCCTTGAAGAGTTCCTCACATATTTTAATATTTAATTGACATCATTACGTGTCATCTTGTTTTTGTTTTTCATATTCTCTGCTTCCAAATATCTAATTATCCCATCAGCATATATATCCTTATATATAATATATATCCAATAATAACATATTTTGTTATAATAATTCATTTTATAAATCTTCAGGGGATAACTTATCCTGTTCTCTATGGCTCCTTCAAGATTTATACAATAAACAAACATATATTATATAATTAAAATTATATAATAAGTTAATTATATTCATCTATTATATAACAAATATAGCACTCCACAATGTTATATATATAAAACATACATATATTGTTATATGTGTAACATATATAATATATATAATACTCCACAATAATATATATTTTGAGGACAGAAAGGAACACATATGCTTCCTTCTTGTCTTTTCTTTTTGTGAGTCCAGGTCTCACTCTGTTGCTCAAGATGGAGTGCAGTAGCATAGCGTTCCCATAGCTCACTGCAGCCTAGAACTCCTGAGCTAAAATCATCCTCCTACCTCACCTTCGGAGTAGCTGGAGCTACAGGCACAAGCCACTGTGCCTGGCTAACTTTAAAATTTTTGCAGAGATAGTATCTCACTATATTGCCCAGGCTGGTCTTGAACTCTTGGCCTCAAGCAATCCTCCCACCTTGGCCTCCCAACATGCTGGGATTGTAGGTGTGAGCCACTACACCCAGCCACATATGCTTTCAATATTTTGCACAATTAGTACTAGGCACATATGCACTTAACTCCCAGCACCCCCACCCAAGAGTGTGTAATGAGAGAAACAAGCTAATTGAAGTAGTATCTCATTTTCAGGTAATAGCATTTAACATTTGTAAGTGGATATTTCCTTCTCAATCATAAAACTTAATGAGCAAAATTACCCTTAAGTTATCTACTTAATGGAATTGTTCAGTGAACTATAGACATAAGCCCATTTTTATACAGGTTGTGTCTTTGGAAATGTTATTCATGGAATTACACTGTGTTAAAGTGATATTTCATCTAAAAGTCACACTGTTTATTTGATGAATACATTTCTCATTTTTTCAAAATAATCTTCCAGAAAAGCATATTAAAACATAATTTCTATTTTCCCCTTGGTTTTAAATGACTATAATAGCACTATGGACATAGAGCTAATACTGTTTTGTTGATTAGATATGTATTATGTGATACAAGTCTTTTAATGAAGATAAAACAGATTAGAAACTTGTGTCCTCATCTTATAAAACAGCACACAAACCATTAGGATATAGTAGTGTTACTCTCTGAAAGCAATTTTCCGTTTGCCAAATATCTGTGATGAAAGACTAAATACATAAAGCAAAATATTCCACAGGACAGTGAGAAAAATGTTTTTATTCCAGCTTTATTAAGGTATAATTGACAAATAATAATTATATAAAGCAGATTTTTGTATTAATATCTGTATTGTAAACTAAAATAATTTTCATATGTAGCTTTGCATTATCATTTGAATATATTTATATGCCAAATGATAATATCTTTCATAAACTGATTACAACTACATTAAAACATCTTTTTATGAAGTACAAAGTTCATGCTGTGCAATTAAACTAGTTTACCGTAGTTTAGATTCATTCATTATATCCATCCAGTAGACAAATATTTATTAAATGGCTGTTCTATGAAAGGTATAGCATCAAGCTATACAATGAGGAGGCCGGGCACAGTGGTTCACGGCTGTAATCCCAGCACTTTGGGAGGCTGAGGTGGGTGGATCACTTGAGGTCAGGAGACCAGCCTGGCAAACACGGCGAAACCCCGTCTCCACTAAAACAAAAATTCGCTGGGCATGGTGGCAGGTGCCAGTAATCCCAGCTACTTGGGAGGCTGAGGCAGGAGAATTGCTTGAACCCAGGAAGCGGAGGTTGCAATGAGCTGAGATCGCACCATTGGACTCCTGCCTGGGCGACAAGAACAAAACTCCATTTTAAAAAAGAAAAAAAAAAAAGAAAAGAAATACAGTGATGAACAAGACGCCTAGTCCTTACTTTCATCTAGTTTTTCTCTAGTGAGGGAGATAAACTAAACAAAAATAAAAAATTAATACTCATTCTAATAAACTTCCTGAGGGCAGTGATTTTTGCCTATTTGTTCACATTTTAGTATCTCTTCAATTACCTAGCATATAATACACAATGAATGAATGAATAAATGAATGAATGGCTGAGTGAATGAGTTCTTTGAAAAGGTCTCTGAAAAATATCAGTTGGGTAAAGGAAGTCTAATTTTTGCAGGGTAGTCAGAAAAGAATTTCGCGGGGAGATGACATTGAAGTAAGTAATGATAGATAGCCATGTGGGCCTGGGATGAAGGAAGGAGAGGTAGTGCTGGGCAAAAGTGGTCAAGTTGTGCAAGAAATGGGAAAGAAGGTCTTTAGCCTTTATAAGGAAGTTTTGAATTTAAGTAGTTGGGAAGTTCTTGATGTATTTAAGCAAGGATGATTTGATCCACATTATGTTTTAAAATTCTGTAGTATTTCTTATAAAATCACAAAGTTAATGATGTAATATATGTGTTTACTTGTTAGTAAATGTATAATAGAACTGCTCTTGAGCAATATGTGTACACACACACACACATATATATGTGTGTGTATTTTCCCAAACTTTCTTAAATTGTAATGTAAATGTAGAAAAGCACTAGACAAATATATATTAACTCACTGTATTATTTTGGCTATGGTTTTCCTTAATTAATTTTGATGCAAACATAATTCACTCATTATCTGCATAAGTTTTGCATTTCTGCCACAGTTGAGTAAACACCATCAATTTAGTATATCAAATAGAATTCTACTCCATGAAATGGGACATGGTTATACTTTTTTACTGTACATTTAAAAATAATTTTAATAAAAACATACACCTTTTTCTTTTTTGAAGTTTTTTTCTATGGTACATGAAAACATACTGTCTCCTGTTGTGGAATTTACTAAAGTTTCCAGTGAGTTGCAAGTCATAATAGGGTTCACCAAACATTCAAATTTTATATTCTCCTTTGAGCTATTCATTTTCTCCCCATTTTCAGATGGTTCTCTTTTATCCCTCTTTATTGATATTCTCATGTTTCATCATTCATACCTTCAAGAATAAAATCTTGAAGGAAGCATTATCTGGTTAAAAAATATACCTCCATTGTATCACTTTTATTTCTTCCCCTATCATGCAAGGATACATTATCATTATTTCATGGTGAATTACATATTATTTTGTTATGAAATGAAATCAGTTCATCTGTGTTTGGCTCCTTGGAAGGTTACTTCTTAGTCCAGAATTTTTTAGAATCCACAAGATGGCTCACCTTTTATTTTCTCAATTCTATAATTTCAGATTACTAACCTCTTCTTTCTTTTCTTATTTTAGAAGGATATGGTGAAGAAATAGCCTGCACTCAGAATGGCCAGATGTACTTAAACAGGGACATTTGGAAACCTGCCCCTTGTCAGATCTGTGTCTGTGACAATGGAGCCATTCTCTGTGACAAGATAGAATGCCAGGATGTGCTGGACTGTGCCGACCCTGTAACGCCCCCTGGGGAATGCTGTCCTGTCTGTTCACAAACACCTGGAGGTGGCAATACCAATTTTGGTAAGAATGTTTAGGGCCAACTCATAATTGATCCAGTTACTCACCTTTATAGTTGCAGTGTTTTTCACTTTCAGCATTCAGCAACTCAAGAGAATAATTAAGCAGCTTTTTTGGTGGCTTTTGGGGTTAATGATTAATGATTTTGCTCACTCACTTCATCTAAAGTTAGATAGAAGCAGACAGTAATTTCCTGTCTTCTTAAATATCTGAAGCATTTGGGGCTGAATTTTGGTGGTTATGTCTAATCTGAGAATTTCTTGAATCACTTAAGATGATCATTTGTTACCATATGCATGATGAGTGCCTCCAAGTTATTTTTCAGTTTCCCTTTAAGTCCATTAATGCCTGAGAGAAGATCTAGAAAACACATTTATCTACAATGATGCCAACTTTGTCCTAGTGAATGGAATACTTATTCCTAATGTAATTCAGTGCCACAGCACCCTGTATTACATTGGCTCTTAAATGCAGAATGCTTTTCATGTTGGCTAGGTAAAGAATGAAATAGATTTCCAGGAGAAAAAATAATATAAAGTAAAACTTTTAAAACTTCTTTGAAGAAAAAGTTTCTGTGTTTAACAGATATTATGTATTTCAGTATGAGTACATATTTTAAAGATACATGTTAGGGAAACAAGTTTATATTTATAGGTTTCAATAAACAAGGTAAGAGCAATATTAAACCTTCAGGTTATTTGTGTTAGCAGTCATGAGACTTCTAATTCATCATTGTCAAGACAATATCAAGGCTTTATTTTTTTTTCAAAATTTCATTGCAAATAACAGCAAATACAATAAAGGTTTCAACAGTATGTATATGGAAATAGATAGCAACTTACCTTTTCTCTGCTTCTTGAACAGAAACAATGTGCCTTGGGTAAATACCTACACTCACTTTTCAGTAATGTAATAAGAAATATATAAAAGAAAGAATTAAAACCAAGACATATAAGAGCTACCCAAAGCAAATACAATCATCAAAACAGCCCAGGAATAAAGTAAAATTAAATCCGTGGGGATAAGTGAATAGCAAATGGGAACAATGGTGGCAAATATCAGAAAACACACCAAAATATACAGTCTCCTTCAAATAGTTGGTCTAGGAGCTGGCAATTGCATTATGCACAGATGCCATAAGATAAAAAGTGGTTGAGTTCAGCTAAATTTACGAGATAACACACCAGAAAATATATTGCTATAGACCATGTGAAAATTCTGACCTATCATTTTACCGTGAACCAAAAAAAAAAAAAAACTTAATAAAGTAATTCTCTTTAAGAAAGAAGGCTATAAAGCAGAAATAAGTAATGGTCAGAAAAGAAATAGAAGGAAAATCAAATCATCACAAAGAAATGAAGATGAAATATGAGGGATCATAAGGAGAGTTGATATCACACAAAATAAAGCAAGGGCCATGAGAATAGGAAAATAATGAATTACAATTTTTAAAGAGTTAAAAAATAATAGATGTAGAAGGCAAGCAAGGGATAACCCTGAAGATGGGCACCCAAAGAAAAAATTAATACAATTGAGTAGAACAAATAACAATATAATACAAGAAAAATTTTATGAAGTAAAACTTTAATGTCAATATTGAAATGGCAACCACATGTCTGAAAAATTGACCTAAAAGAGTTAACAGAGACATATGTAACTTAATGAAGTCATTAAACTTTAAAGATAAATAAATACTTCTTTAGAATGTCAAAGAATAAGAACAGATTATTTCTCAAGGGAAAAGTTGTTAAGACTGGTCACAAATTTCTCCACAGTATCCAGTGTCAGAAGACAGTGGAGCAATATATACATATTTCTTAAGGAGATAATATGGTTAATTAAAGTTAAATATAAATCCATTCTCTCCTTCAAATATAAAAGCTACAGTAAAAGCATTTCTGTGGGGTTATTGTTTCTATAAATTTCTCAGGGAAACTACCATCGGCTAAATGCAAGGCAACCAAGAGTTAATTGAAGAAACTGTCAAAGAACTTATGTGAGCATTTATTATATTTAAATCTAGAAAAAGACTAAAACAAAAGTGTAACTTAGGGTGACAGATGGGATTGTAAATATTATAGCTTCTGACAATGCAGAAATAATTATAAAACATATATAATGAAAGGGGGAGGCAAAAGAAAGTATGAACTAGAGTGAGTTTGGTAATTCCTCATCTTTAAAGGTGAAAGTCAGATAATATCATTCAAACCTGACAAATCACATGAACAAAGTAGTGGCACATTTAACACTACAAAAATAAATGCTAAAAAGAACATTTCCTTGTTAAAATGGAATGCTAGAAGAAAACCTGAGCGGCATGTAAGAAAAAAGAAACACTGTCAATTTTATCATTGCTCATTTTAGTGGAACTAATAGAAACTGTCTAAACAAATACAGATCTATGAGTAATGTAAAAGAATGTTAACATAATTTAGCAGAATATGGAATATAATTGATAGAACTAATATATAAATCTTTTTAAACATAAGAAGTTCTAACACACCAAACAAAGATACTTGAAAACACAGTGAAACATTTTATTTTTAAAATTTTAACAAAAAATCATAGTTCTATGCTTATATAAATAAAAAGAAAGAATAAAAGTATGTGCATTTAGCATCTTTCTCAAAAAGTTAAAAAGAATCAACAAAATAAACTGAAAGTAAGTGGAAGAAAAAAATTGTAAAGATAAAAACAGAAGTTGAAAAGTGAGAAAACTGAAATATAGTAGAAATAATATGTAAATCCAAAACATGGTCCCATAAAAACCCAACCAAAAGATCTAACCTAAAGCAAAAAATGATAAAGAAAAAATTACCTAATGAAAGTAAAACAACATGAAAGAATCATTAAGAGGTCCCTTTATTCAACTGTATCTTCATAAATTTGAAAACTAATATGAATAATTTTCTAAGACAATGTAATTTACTAAGACTAGCTCTGGTAGAAACAGAAAATCTTAGAACATGGATTTTCTTAGAAGAAACAGAGAAATTTGCAAAGCAGCTAGATTCCCAAAGCAGCAAGTCCAGGTGTTTTCACAGTTGTGTCAAACAACTAAAAGGTCTTAAAAAGAAATCAGATGGTTTTAATGCTTTTAAATCCTCTTCTTGAACATTGAAAGAGACAGCAAACTTTCAAAGTTTTACTATGAAGGAAGTATATTATTTACAGCAAAAGTAATAACAATGACACACACAAAAAACTATGAACTGATCTCATAAATTTTTTTTACAATTCTAAATAAAATATTAAGTCTATTAGCATATTAAGAGAGTAATTATTCATGAAAAAGTGGCGATTATTCCACAAGTGCAAAATAATTGACTATTAAGGAAGCTATTAATAAAAATAATTATCTTAACAGATCTATGAAGAGAAAGTATATGAATTCTTTCATAATTAAAGTAAAAGTATTTGACAATGATCAGTAAATACTTTTGATAAAGACAGTTACTAACTTGGTAATAAATGATACTAACATAATACAATATTTACATCTCAACTTAAAAGTTTCATTATGCTTAATACTAAAAGCATCCCTACTAAACACAAAGATAGACTGAGTATCCATTATCACCATTACCATTTAACAGTACTGAATGTGCCTGAATAAATAATTTGACATTAAAAAAAGAAATCAGAGGTTTCAAAACTCTAAAAAGAGGAGCAAAAACTATCCATTTGCAGAAAATACAATTGTATGCTTACAAACCTATTAAATTGAGTAAAAATAAAACTACAAAAAATAAAAGAATTTAGTAAGACATGAGAGTGCAAAATTAACAAGCAGAAATTAATAGGTTTACTATGTATAAACAATTACATCATAGAAGAAATAATAGGAATAAAAATTCCTCATTTGTAATAGCAACAGACACTTAAGGATAACTTAACACAAAATGTATGAGATCTGATGAAAATTTTTTAATACTGCTAATTCAAACTAAGTATTTAAAAGACTGAATGTCCTATTATGTTCTTGGTTAGAAAGACTAAACATTACACTCACATAAATTCTCCATAAGTTAATTAGTGATTTTAACATGATCTCAATATAAACATAGCACACTTTCTTTGAGAATTCAACATATTGCAAGTTAAAATTTTCATAGACTACACAAGAAAGAATAATCAGGCAAATCCTTAAGAATAAGAGCAATTAAGGATGACTAGCCCTACAAGATTTTAAAAAGGATTCATTAGTTTAAAAAATGTGATGTAGATACATGAATAAAATAAAATCTTGAAGTAGATCCAAATATACATGGTCAGATTGAATACAATAAAGATGGCATCGTAGCAGTGGAGAAAAGAAGAATTATTTCATAAACCTTGTTGGAATGGCTAGGCAATCATCTGGAAAAAAATGAAGTTGAATAATAAAAATATATTCTACACTAGCACAAATTATAAATAAAGCAGTGATTTAAATGAGAAAAATTAAATCATAATGATTTCAAAGATAACATAGGATAATTTCTTTATAGTCTTCTAAAATATATGACTTTATGAATTCTGACTCAAAGCCCAGAAGGCATAAAAATGTACAAAAATAATAAACATTTGTGTGACACAAAAAATGAGCAAAGTAGAAATGTTTGCAACTCAATTCACAAAGAATTAATATTCTTTACATATAAAGAAATACTAGATATAAATAATTAAAATATCAATAACCTAATAAAAATATAGGCAAGGGAAATTAGCTAATCATTCGAACAAGGAAATACAAATGATTTTTCAATATATGACAAAACTGTCAAATTTTCTCATAATAAAATATGTGAATGAAAACTATACTGAGCTATCATGTTTTACCTATCAGATTGGCCAAAATTAAAATGTTTGATAGCATACTGGGTATCACTGCATATTGCCTGTGGGGAAATGTGTCCATTATTTGTGGAGTGTAAAGTGGTATAATTTCTATGAAAGGATATTGGTAGTATCTATCAAGTTACCAATGCCTATACCTTTAACTCAAAAAGGATATTGGGGAATTTATCTTACAAATATACTTGCATGTAGCGTATACGTAACAATTACTCATTACAATATTATTTTTAATAGCCAGCATGACCTTCATTCTAGCTTGCCTAGGAAAACCCCAAATTACATCAATTTTCTTGGCATAATAAACAATAACTTTCACTTTCATTCTTAAAAGTGTCCTGGTTAGATGATAAAGTACATCCTAGTGATAACAAAAGATTAGAAACAATCCAAATGTCCCTAATGGGTAAAGGTCAAAATTAGTTAAATAGATTGTGTTAGATTAATACAGTGGAATCTTATAAAAAAATTAAGAAAAACAATAAAGAAACTATATACTGATGAGCAAAGATCTGTAAGATTTAATGAACTATGTGATATACAGACAAGTGAAGAACAGTATGGAAAAAGTAGAAAAATGAGTCTGTAATAATTTTCTTAAATATTCCAAACTAAACTTGAGAACAACATACGAGAAACCAATAATAGTGGCCTCCTGTGGGGGTGGGGGTAAAGTGGAAATAGGGAACACAGGACCAGATGGAATGACATTTTTTAGTGTATAATTGTATACTTTTAATACATTTTTGCTTTTGAACCATATGAATAAACAGCCTTGCTCATAAAATTATAAAAAGCAAAAATGGAGAATATTGATGAAAGATAATTCATTATAGCTTTAATAGCTAATTTAATAATTTAATGAACTTTAAATGTCATATAAATGTTGTGAAGAATATTAATATCATGTTAGAATTTTCCAAAAAGATGCATTTTTTGCCTTTTATGGAAGTATTGATCCAAAACCTTTTGAATTCTGCTTACTGCTGATAGTGTAATCACTATCACTGTAATTCTGACTCCAGAAGAAATCTATTATTGAAAGTAAATATTTAGCAGATTCTCAATAATTGTTTCCTCATAAAATAACACATTTACTCTTTTCTTTTTACAGGTAGAGGAAGAAAGGTAAGTGTTACTTTGCATATTTTCTTTTTCATAAGCAGACTTATATCCAATACTATCCACACAGAACTGTGCTCTGAAACGTTTGAAAGCTTTTGAAAAGTACAAAGTACCATACAAATACATTGTGACAAGTATATAAGCACAGTTCAGCTACTGTGTTTCCAAAGGACAGATGCCTCTTAACCATTCACTTTATGGTTAATTTCTGTTTGTATATCTGTTTCTGCCAGAAAGTTGTGACATCTTTAGGGATTGAAAATGTCTGATTAACCTTTTATTCTTTGCATTTGTCATTGCATAGTACATACTTTGCACATATTAGAAGTACAATACACATTTGATGGAAGAAAGAAAAGATAGGAGGAAGGGAAGGAGGAAGGAAGAAAGTGAGGGAGGAAGGAAGGAAGGAACGAAGAATGTCAATTTGACTTCAATGGGCCTGTAGCCCCTCTCTCATTGGTTGGGAAGTAAAGATCCAGAATTAATTGAACATTTTACCAAACAGACATTTCTTCCCCTCCTCTCCCCTCCTTCACCTTCAGAGAGCTTAAAATCTAATTCTGGACACAAGCTTTACACTTGAAAACAGGGTAGGCTGCATCCATGACCCGAGTATAGCTGGTCAGCTTGGTCACTTGCCATCAATAAGGTAATCCTACGAAGCGAAGATAGTTCTTTTTGCCCAAGAGTGCTCTCTGTTTTTTGGTTATCTTGAAAATTATGGCATTTACTTCAGTTGTATCCAAATGAGATGGGCACAGGGATCAAGGCAGTAGAAACTGTTGCTGGTCCCAATTTCCATAAATTTTCTTTACTTTTGCACACAGTGGAACTTTAATAAAATGATTTATCAGATAACAGATAAAGCAATGCTACACATTCATGATAAGTAAGAGTGATGCTATCAAGGGGAGATCCTGGCCAGTTTTACACATTTTGATTCAGAGGGCAATATCATAAATTTGTCTCATTTGGAATAAATTAGATATGAATATATGTCAAAGGAGAAGGGCTGCAAATGCTATTTCACATTTAATTTATTGTGAAAACGAAAATAAATTGAAACTTAGCAGATTGGTATAGGCCTTGAACAAACTTGACAGATAGGTGAAAGATAGATGGATGGATGCATGGATGCATGGATAGACAGATAGAGAGACAGACCAATCTATGAAACAACAAAAAATCCTAACAATGAGTACTGCCATGAAATAATCATTTTAATTCAGTTAGCAGTTACCCGACTTAGAGAGATAACTGGTAGGCTGTGTCATTTGCTGCCTTTCTCCAAAAGTAGTGTGGGAGAGCTGGGTGAAGAATATACTCAAAGCAGCTGCCAATGTAGCAGACTGTGGTTATGTGCCACTATCTTCATGACTTGTTTTCATTTGTCATCAGGTATCATCAGAAACACAAGAGCAAAGCAATGTTATAAAAATGCAATTTGTTCTTCGTTTATATCCACTTTGATATTTACTTACAACTCATTGACCGATTGATTCATTCATTAATTCATGTTAACTCCAACATAATTACTGAACCTTTTTTATATGGCTATGAGGCAAATGGTATAGATGATGCAAATGTGAGAAAAACACTATAACTGCTTCCATGGTAATGACATTCTACAAAGCATGTCCACATGGTATTAAATGATAAGTAATTGTAATGCACATCTGGATCTGAGTACATGAACTTTATGTTTCTCAGTGGATATGAAAATTAAATTTAGTAAAACTTTAGACAGACCATTATTCCATACAAATTAACTTATTCAAAGCCTATATTAATACAAACAATAGAAACAAATATTTACATTTGTGGCTTATATCCAAAATAAGAAATCTATAGAATCATTAGGGAATTTATTATTAGAAACTTATAATTGAACACTTAACCCCTTTTAAATATTGTGCAGCAACAGAACAGTCATATATCAAAAAGCCTACAATTTAGGTAAGACAGGTATCAGAGAGTTCTATTCCCCTACATATAAAGCAAGTATAAAGTGCATTTTGCTTGTAGGTCTCTTAGGATGGAAATTTCACAACTATTCTTAGCAGGCTGTTCCATTTTTCTCATTCTGACTGAAACAATTTGTCCTCTCTTTTTATTTGTTCTTCTAGTCTTCCTCTAGAAGGAGCATTGTTTCAGCATCATAAAGTCCTTTGTTTATTGCACAAAAATTTATGTACCCTTTCTAAACAATTCAAATTCTTTCAGCATTTTGAAAAATATCTTTTATTATAGCTCTTACATGGTTAAATTTTATTATTTTTGTATTTTTTAAAATAGAAAGACTCTAGAAGTTAGTGGATGTGAACATGCAGAAATAAGCCTATTTTACTTTGAAGCCCATATATGTTGATTCTTTCTTGTCCTAGGCTTTGTGTAGGTTGGCTATTAGTCCCTAGTGTTTCAATCTTGAACTTACCCTATAGAACTGCCTCCTGCTTCTGGAGAGCCCTTTCCTTCTTTTGGATTCTCAATTTATTCCTTACTTCCAGAGTATTCGCTGCTTCAACATTAGAATCAGCAACTGTGACTGAGTTATTATTAGTTCCGCCCTTAAGTCCATCATTTCACTTCATGAAGTTTTGTCAGGATAGTATTGGAAGGATATAAGTAGATTGTATCTTTAGTAGTACAATTTGGTGATATGGGTTAAAAACTTAAAATGTCTTTAGTCCACAAATTTAACTTCTAAAAACATATCATAAGGTATTAATCAGAGATACCATGGACACATTTATAAACAAAGATATTCATTTTAATGTCATTCTTAAACTTAAAAATGAAAACAAAATTTAAGAGTAAGATAATGAGGCATTGATTAGATACTCAAAGTGCATGTAGATGGTGGAAAACTAAGAATGCCAGCATATTAACAGTGGTTATCTCCGGGGTGTTGAGTAGGATATTTAGGGTTTTTTAAAAAATATTTCTTCTATTTTCAAAATTTCCTGCTATGAACACATAGTATTTTTATAATCAGATTAAAGGATAATATATATGAAAGGAGAAATAAAATAAACTAGAACTCATTCTTCTTGTGTTTTTCTACATTTTAGAGATGTTAAATTCATATTCATCCTACACAATTGCCCAGTAAAAAGCATTATTTCTTAATATATTAATGGAAAGTAATACATTTTAAAAATTCATTGAATGCTTCCATTTGCTATGCTGAGCATGTGAAGTAGACTAAGACACAACCATGACTTTGAGGAGACCAAAATCTGTTCGAAGACAAATTTTGAAATGAAGAATACAAATTAGTAAATGATTAAGTAGAAATAGATAAAGCTACAATTCATCCAATATTATTTAATCTATGTACCTGATATCATGCAATGAGGATTCCATTTCTGAGAAAAGTTCTAAGAAACAAAATAAATTCTATCTACATCTATTACATTTGCTATATCTATTATAAAAGCAATTATATTGACCTGACCCTATTTACTTACATGATAGTTTCTTATGTTGTTTTTGATTTTCTTAGTCAATTGATTTTTTTTCCTAGATTTTCTTCAGGTATTGAGAATCATCTGAGTGGAATTATTATTTTTTTCTTTCTTTTTATTAAAGATGAGCACATGTACTCATTTTTAATGCCCTTCCATGAGTACTAAAAAAGGGTGCTAGTAGTTCAGGAATGGCATCTGATTAGATCCTGAAAACTATGTGTCATATGATAAAAGTGTGAAAATTTGTATATATTAATTTATATTAATTTTTATGTATTACAATTTCTGGCTCTTTTTGTGTTTTCAGTCTTTCAGTAGTTTTTCCTCTGGTGCTTTGTCTTTACATCTTTTTGTTGCAACTATTTTGTGCTCTAGTCAACTCTTTGGATTTGATCTATGTGGAAACTGAAGCAAAATAGCTTTACATATTTCACACGCTGGATTTTTTTATGTCTTTCAGGTGAGCAGTAATATTTTAATGAGTAATATCTGACTAAATATCCTAAAAATTGTTAACTTTCTTTTTGTAGTTTTTTGCATTTCTTACATAGAAATTCCCTGTGTTTACATGGCATATTCTAGGGTGACATGTTTTTGCCCAGCAAGCCATTATATTGTGCTAATTGAATTTTTGAATTGTTTTTAATGTCACAGGGACAAAAGGGAGAACCAGGATTAGTGCCTGTTGTAAGTATATGTATAATCATTGTTTCCTTGTACCTTAAATAAACTTAGCTTATAGTATAATTGTATATTATTGCTTATGTACATACTTTCAAAAATAAATTAGTTATTTTAAAAACAAGTTTTTAGTATAACACAAGCAAACCAGAACAGATTAGTTATTTAATACAATATTTGATATTCTGTGTTCCTGACTTTTATAGTCCCATGACTAAAGGTAGAAAGTCATTGTTTTAAAAAGTTAAATATATTACATGTGGATATACACTGATAGTTAATATTAGTACTAGTTAGTATAGTAGTTTATTATTCCACACTTCTGGAAATACATCATGCCCTGATCCTGAGCAAAATTCCCTGTTGCATAAGAATTCCTAAGACTTCTTTAAACTTGTAAATGGATCAAGAAGTATGTTACTAAACAGGATTAAAGCTCTTCAACTGTCGTTCTGTCAGGTTTCATTATTTTTTATTTTTATTTTTTTGAAACAGAGTCTCGCTCTGTTACCCAGGCTGGAGTGCAGTGGCACAATCTCAGTTCACTGCAACCTCCACCTCCCAGATTCAAGTGATTCTTGTGCCTCAGCCTCCCGAGCAGCTGGGACTACAGGCAAGAGCCACCATGCCTGGCTAAATTTTGTATTTTTAGTAAAGACGGGGTTTCACCAGTTTGGCCGGGCTGGTCTTCAACTCCTGACCTCAAGTGATCCACCCACCTTGGCCTCATTCTCCTAAGTTTTAAAGGTGTTATCATCAGTCTGTCAAGACAAAAAGAATATGCATGTTGATTTATTTAGCAGTGTTTACATTCTCTATTTGCCTTTAATTGGCTTGTTTTTTTAACGAAGATTACCTAAAACTTAAATAATTCATATTGTTTTATTTAATTTTAAAAAGCATTTATGTGTGCTTACTATGTCTTAGGTGTTAAGTGCTTTACAAATACAAATATTTATTTATTTGTCTTCATAACTCTATGAGGGAGGTAATTACCTAATCATCACTACCATTTTACATTTAAGTTTCCACTTAAGATCCTTAAGAACAGAGAGGATAAGTAATTAGTCCAAAGTCACACATCTGGTAAAGGGTAGTGTCGGGATTTGAACCCAGGCCCCTTGGCTCCAGTGTTGGTGCTCTTTATCATTACGCCAGCACTGCCTCCCTATATTAGTTAAAACTAGATAATATCTTAAATCTTAAGGAGAGGAGGAAATGGTCATCAATTGACAACATCCATTTGTTAAAAAAATTACTGTGGTTTTTGTTGTTATTCTTATTTGTTACTATTGACCTCTCTGAATATCTGCAGAAACTTTACCTTTACAAATTTTCTTGTTTATTGTTTAGGTAACAGGCATACGTGGTCGTCCAGGACCGGCAGTAAGTAGTTTCTCCCAATATTCTTGGTACTCTTGTATTCCTTGAGATACTGAAAATCTTTACAGATATTATATCCATGAGAAGATAAAAGAATTAAACAATGATACTTGGTCTCTTAAAACATTTTGTCTTAAACCATCTTCAAGTTAGACATTGCTTTGCAGCAATGAATGGTAGATAAGGGATCATTTTATTCTGAAACTGAAGAAACATTATGTTAGTCTTGCTATTGGTTATGTAAAAGACAAAACACTTTATTGTTACATTTGTTAATTTTAGTGTGACTTTGTTCACTGAAATTAGGGCATACTTGTGTGTTGTTTGACTATGATTAATGGTAGGCTAGTTTTATCTGCTTAATAAAATTATATATTGCAGTAGAATTTGAGAAATCATACAGCAGGAGAGCATATTTATGGCTTAGTATAAAAGATTAATTTTTTCAAGTTTGGATTATCAGCAGTATTCATAACATATACACACACTTCATGTAAATGTTAAACACATCAAATCAGCTTAAAATACTAAGTTAGCTTTAATGGACTCACTCTGGTTCTTCTGAAGCCCTCACTTTTAAACGATGCTATATGTTGGGTTGAGTAAATACACAATATAATCTTCATAACTCAGTTTAAATCCTCTTTTAAAGAGAAACAAAGTCCCCCTGGCAACAGCCATTTCCCAGGGGGGGAAAAACATTTTAAGATATCAGCACAATAACACCACTTTTGAAATATAATAGTCATTTGTTATTTAAGGGAAAAGTAACTGTAATTAAGATTTGGAAATTTCTAAGTGGGTTTTAAACATACAAGGGAAGTAATGCAATATTCTAAGTAAAGTAAAAAGAAAAGATGCTTGAGTGTACATAAAGCAGTACTGTAGTAGGCTAAGAGGCTTTCCTTTCCATTGCTTTTATCAGCAACTTGAACAGTGATGAACATTTTGGGGTATCATGTACCAATTTGATTTCATACAGTCCCTGGAATAATTGATAATTTGTATTTTGCACATTTATGTAATTTTCAAAATCAGAATTGTAAGTTTTTGTGCTCAGAGTTTAGTGGCAAAGGCTTTACCTGGGAGAAGACAGCAAATATGATCCTTAAAAATTTGCAATTACTAGTCAAGCTAATCTATTTAGCTCACTATGCTCCATGATGCCATAATGTGCACCTAGTTCTTCATAGGTCTTTAAATGTCACTGATAACATAAACAACGCTTCTAAGCGTACAGAACTTTTATATGCACATGGCTTTATTCTCTATAGTCTTCAACTGAACTGAATTAAGTGTGGTATTTCTGTTTTCCAATTTTCTTTTATCAAGTAGACTTTTAAAAATTCAATAAGAAAGTATACATTTTTGCATGCATAATCATCATTTTCTGTTTTAGGGACCTCCAGGATCACAGGGACCAAGAGGAGAGCGAGGGCCAAAAGGAAGACCTGTAAGTTGACAGGAGGGCTCCTTGTGGGGAACGTACAGCCAGTCAGTTTACACTGTGTTCTCTGAATGCAGCAAGAAGCTGGGAGCACTATTCCTCTTTCACCTCCATTAAATTTTACAAAAATACAATAATAATTGTATATTATCTTATTAGATAACACAAATGATATTTCCTTGTCCCTTATGAGGTCAAATCAAAATAAAGTAGAACTTAAGGAAGCATAGTTAACATGTCATGAGTTTCACTCATGAGTAAGCAATGCCAAGAATGCACTGTTGAGATAAAACATCCAAGTTATATGATCTGTGGTTGCCACAGGAATAACCAAGCTGGATACGGGAAAAAATTGTTAGAGGATAAAATTTTCTTTCAAGTGGTTGCACAACAAGTTTATTTCCCAGGTAGCACTCCGCCTTTTTCACTCAGCAGCCACTGCAGAGATAGCAAAGGAGTAGTTTTAAAAATCAGCAATCCCATTACTAGACAAGTGAAATACCTTTACAATAAAATAGTGACCTCAATATCTTTGAGATAAAACATGAGGATATTATATAATATATACCAAAGGTTTTCTTTTATTACCTATCTGCACAGAATACATATTGTTCTCAAGTGTTAGAGTTACAACTTTTTTTTTCTTTTTTTTTTTTTTTTTGAGACGGAGTCTCGCTCTGTCACCCAGGCTGGAGTGCAGTGGTGTGATCTCGGCTCACTGCAAGCTCCGCCTCCCTGGTTCACGCCATTCTCCTGCCTCAGCCTCCCGAGTAGCTGGGACTACAGTTGCCCGCCACCATGCCCAGCTAATTTTTTGTATTTTTTAGTAGAGACGAGTTTTCACCGTGTTAGCCAGGATGTGATCCGCCCGCCTCGGCCTCCCTACAACGTTTTTTCTTATGTATCACTTCTAAAATCTAATGTCTTTCATATACTAAATAACTGTATTCATTTGTATATTGCTCCCATTATCCCATGTTTCAATTAGAAAATTTTGTTTGTACTGTTTAATTTTTTCTCTAATGTATCTATTAAAACTCTCAGTAGATTTTTATCCTTTTAAATATATATTTATCCATATTTAAATGGGAGGATTAGAAGATAAGCAAACAGCAGACAAGTTTGAATATATAAATGAGGATAAAATATATTTTAGATCATATGCCTAGGAACTCTTGCCACTAGTTTCATTCTTGTTACTACATTATCCTTCTACTCATTTCACCTCATATATAGTGTGATGTCAGTACTTTTTCTTAAACGGGGCTGCACTATGGATGTTACTTGCAGGCATGTAGGTGCAAAGCAGTGCCCCAAGAGATTGGCCATATCTTGGGGTGTGTCCAGATTATTATATGCCCCATTCTTCACTGTGGTTGTATTGAGTTTTCTCACTAGTGTTGGTAGCTTAAACACTGCTGTAGGTCTCCAGATGTCTCTCCTAGATCTAGAAAGACAGAAATAGGTAGAAAATAACATCAGTTGGGTGGAGGATGGGTGGTCGTGACAGAAAAAAAAAAAAAGATTTTGCATTGGTGTATTTGTACACTGTAAGTAATTGATAACATTGGGTCCTAAGTCTAGGTAGAAGTTGTTGTAGGACCAGACTTCCAGAGTTCCTGGTTAAGATCCAAAGAATCTACTCCCCAACCCTTCTCACTTATTTTCCCTATTTGACTTTGTGATGTGGTCAATTTCCTGTCTTGGTTAGGCCTGAGACAATCAATGTGAATTGGGTATAAGTGTGTGCGTGTTGTGTGTGTGTGTTTGTGTGTGTGTGTATGAAAGAGCGAGAGAGAGAGAGGGAGAAAGGGGGGTAGATTTTTAGGAGGAATCAAGTGAGACAACCCTGGCAGATATCCAAGTAGGAAATCTGTTCCTCTCTTAATCCTAGCAAAGAACTGGTGTGATGGTAAGTGTTTAACAAATCTTTTAATGCCTGCCTACACCGATTTCAAGATATGAAATGATGTATAGCTTTGCATGAAATGATGTATATGAAATGATGGGCATGATGTAACAGAATGCCCATAGGTAGAATGTTTTGCCTCATGTCTCAAGCCTTCTGGGAGCTGCTTAGCTGGACTAAAATTATGGCTGTCACAATATCATAAATAGCATTCCCCCACCCCCACCATTATATTACCATCAAACAGTACGGAAGGCTCACAATGTACAGCATGGTTTCTCACTGTTAACACTATTGATATGTTAGGCCAAATAATTCCATATGCATTGTAGGAAGTTTTGCGGCATTCCTGGTATCTACCCACTAGATGCCAGTTGAAACTGCCATCCCCCATACAATTGTGACAGTTAAAAATGTTTCTTGACATTGCCAAATCCAGGCAAAATAGCTCTGGACTGAGAACTAGTATGTCAGTAGTTCAGTATGAGATACTCCTACAAGACCTTCAGGATTAGCCAATGATTTTCATGACTGTCTCTCATCACACGTCCTCAGTTTTAAGTGTATTGTTCAGATAACTTCATAGTGACAAGCTAGCAAACTGTCAGGAGATGGACCGTCAATGATGTGCTAAGTTCTAGTTGCACATGACACTTAACCACTATTGGTATGTTTCTTGATCTGTAAAATGGGAAATATACTAGATCTTAACATCTATAACATTTATGTGTGTGTGTGTGTGTGTGTGTGTGTGTGTGTGTGTGTGTGTGTGTGTGTGTGTGTGTCAGAGAGAAAGAGAGAGAGAGAGAAACGAGAGAAATGAAGTTCTTTAACAGTTCCCGGTCATTCGTCTTTTCTACTTGTGGATGTTTAAACATCGCCACCTAGTGGCAACCTCAAAGTACTTTTTTATTGTAGATTACTGCGGAGGTATTTGAGTATCTTGGAAATGGAAGGGAATGATAATAAATGTAACATTTACCTTAATATAAGAATTATGTAATTCAGCTCACTTGGAGATATAAAAATAGATACTTTTAATGAGCTCCCAAATTCTAATTTGCTTTTGATATTTACCGGTAAACATTCTTGTGTTCACTTAATTTTAGATAATTTTTATAGACGTTTTTATTAATTTTAATCTTAATCTGTGCAACAGTAAATTTCATAAGCTATTTAGAGGGCATTCCGTGGAGACATATAATGAATCTGAAGTCAATGAAAACAATCTTAGGATCAGACTTTGAAATACGAAGTGTTAATTACAGAAGAATGGAGAAAGTCACAATCTCTTTGGAGGACTAATGAATATTTCTCAAACTTATCTCCACTCCTGTTGACAATAAATATAGTTTTGTGTATGTCTCTTTGGAACTCTCATTGGGAGCAGAGATTATGCATTAGTTCACTTTTTGTATGTAATAATATCTGGTTATTAATTAGCAACTGAGCATTGCAAGAACAGAATCAGAGTTTTCTACACAAGGCTGTATGAATAAACCAGACTATTATTTTGTCTGTGCTGTCATATACATATCCAGTTCATGTTACTCTCATTCATATGATCCAGGAGTCCTAGAGAACAATTGAAATCAGCCTCTGTTGTGTATAATGAAGTGTGAAGTAAATTGTTAGTAGTTTAGGAGTCAGAAAAGTTTTGATTTTTAAAAACTGAGAATAATTTTCTAAGATATCATTTTTAAATATAAGTTTTTCAGGCTAAGTATTCTACTTCTATTTAATAGATAAATTTGCTTGTTTGTCCCACTACTGCAAGAAGTAAATATGTCTATATAAATGTTTAAATATATTAAAATAATTAAATTTCTGAATAGCTATGATGCCACCCTCCCCAAAACCATCATATACAAACTGCCACCTCCACCACCTGAGCTTGTCCTGTGTTTGCTCCCTCTGCACTATCAGCTCCTATTTGAATTGCTTACTGTGGTCCCATAGGTATTCTCATGTTTAAGCATGGGAGTTCTTTTTTTAACTATTAAACTTCATTTACCATATTTCCCTTGATCCCTGCTTATAATTATAAAAAGCATATTGCCTGATGACTTTTTGGTCCTTTCTTTTTGAAGCCTTTCAAGATTCTTTAGGGTTAAGGAGCCAGAAAATACTTAACTAGCCTTGTGGGAATGATGAGGTTAGAGGACGGAGCATTTCCAGAACTGAGGACGTGGCTGTTCCCCAAGCTGCCTTCAGAATGTGGGTTAGGAGAAGGGTGGAATTTGGCAGCTAGAAATCATTGCTCACTTCTCTGAGAACTTAGACTTGGCTGGGTCACAGTGCCTTTGCCTCTAATTTCTCAATGGTCTAGTCTTCCTCTGGGGGTGGGAAGTAAAATAAAGTGTGCCAGGCTTTAAAGTATTAAAGAGGACTGAAAGGTAACAATATAATATGCATGTATTGAGTGTCTAGTATGTACCAGGAACTATGCAAAGCATTAAACAATTAGACAGAAAATCTCTACAAACTCCAATCAAGGGATTCTTGAATTTTGGGGGGAAGGGAGAAGTTAAGCAGACGTATACATAGTTAACTGTAATCCAATGACAATCCACTGTAATTTCAGTGACAGACAAGTGAATTTATAATTGTTGATCAAATACCCTTGCACGGCAAAAACTCAATCAAATAAGGAAGTTCACTTTAGAATACTGTTGAACTGAAAATTTTAAAAATAATTATTCTAAGAATGCTGATTTCTGGGTATTTAACACACCACATAAAATTCTTACCCAGACCACATCCGAATGGTAGAAGTTCAGACCTATGCTGAAATCAGTAGTGACATGGCTGATGAAATTACTCTAAGTGGCTAGATTGCCATGTATTTTTAAAATAATAAACACTCCCTTGCCATTAAGAAGTCTGTGCCTTTAGCTTTCTACTAAGTGTATATTTGGCAGTGGGTTCTAATTTTAACTGGCTTGTTTTCCAGGGCCCTCGTGGACCTCAGGGAATTGATGGAGAACCAGGTGTTCCTGGTCAACCTGGTGCTCCAGGACCTCCTGGACATCCGTCCCACCCAGGACCCGATGGCTTGAGCAGGGTGAGTTGTGTGCATTGTTTGATGTCACGTACAGGTCATGTTTTAAATTATTGATATATTGTTAGGATTTTAAATTGTGTCTGTTCAGATATTGACACTTGACTGTAAGAGCAGTTAAATAAGGTCAACACTGCTATGGACAGTAGAACTAATAAACCCACAGGGAATTGTTGGAAAAATTGGAAGAAGTATTTTCTAAAGTACTGCTTCAAATTGTTTGTATTTCTCAATGTCAGCTCTAGACTCTATGTGCTTTGTTTTTTCTATTGATTCTAAAGAACCACTGCTTTCCCCCTCTTTAAATGAAATGAGAGATTTATCTGTCCTATTCTCTAGGCTCAGAATGCCAAAAAAATCTGCTCCGTATCCTCCACAAGAGAGGATGACACATCCATGATGAGGGATATGAGAAGGCCATTGAGTTGACACTAAAAATGACACCTAATTATTTCTTCAATTTTAGTTTTTTTACTTGAAGTAAAGTCAAACAAAAAGCCTTTCAATACCGACTTCTTTGAATTGTTAATGTCAGACATAGGGGATTTATAAGTACAGGCAAACCATGGAGATATTGTGGGTTCAGTTCCAAACCACCTCAATAAAGTGAAATACTGCAGTAAAGTGAGTTATGTGAATTTTTTTTTGTTTCCCAGTGCATATAAACTTATGTTTTTCCACAATATAGTCTGTTATAAAGTGTGTAATAGCATTATGTCTAAAAAACAAGGTATATTTCTTTATTAAAAATACCTTATTGTTAAAAATTGCTAATAATCATCTGACCTTTCAGCAAGCCATAATCTTTTTGCTGATAGGGTGTTTTGCTTTGATGCTGATAGTTGCTGACTAATAAGGGTGGTATTGCTGAAGCCTGGAATTGCTATGGTAATTTAAAAAATAAGACAACAATGAAGTTTGCCATATCAAAATCCTTTGTTGTCATTTCAACAATCTTCACAGTATCTTCACCAGGAATAGACTGCATCTTGAGAAACGACTTTCTTTGCTCATTCATAAGAAGCAAGTCCTCATCTGTTAAAGTTTTATTATGAGATTACAGTAATTAAGCAACATCTTCAGGCTCTACTTATAATTCTAGTTCTGTTGCTATTGCCATCATATCTGCAATTACTTCCCCCAATGCAGTCTTCAGCCACTAAAATTCATTCATGAAGGTTGGAATCAACTTCTTCCAAACTTCTCTTGAGGCTTATATTTTCACCAATCAATTAAGAATGTTCTTAATGGCACCTAGAATGATAAATCCTTTCCAGAAGATTCTCAATTTACTTTGAACATTATATTCTTAAGTAATAAGATTTAAAAGTTGAAATTTATTTATATCCATGGGCTGCAAAATGGTTTTTGTATTAGCAGGCATGAAAACAACATTAATATCCTTGTATATCTCCATCAGAACTCTTATGTGACCTAGTGCATTGTCACTGAGCAGTAATATTTTGAAAGGAATCCTTTGTTTCTGAGCAATAGGTCTCAATAGTGGGCTTGAAATATTCAGTAAACAATGCTGTAAAGGCTGTAAACAGATGTGCTGTTATCCAGGCCTTGTTGTTCCATTTATAGGGTACAGGCAGAGTTGTTTTATCATAATTCCTAAGGATGCTAGGATTTCCATAATAAGAAATAAACACTGGTCTTAGCTTAAAGTCTCCAGCTGCATTAACCCCTAACAAGAGAATAAGCCTGTTCTTGGAAGCTTTGAAGCCAGGCATGGACTTTTTCTCTCTAAACATGAAAGTCCTAGATGGCATCTTCTTCCAACAGAAGGCTGTTTTGTGTACATTGAAAGTCTATTGTTGAGTGTAGCCACGTTCATCAATGATGCTAACTTGATCTTCTGGATAACTTGCTGCAGTGTCTACATCAGCATTTGCTGCTTCACTTTGCATTTTTATATTATGGAGATGGCTTCTTTCCTTTAACCTCATAAACCAACATTTTCTAGCTTCCAACTTTTCTTCTGCCACTTCCTTGCTTCTTTCAGCCTTCACAGAATTGAAGAGGGTTAGGGCCTTGCTCTAGATTCGATTTTGGGTAAGATAATGTTGTGGTTGGTTTGATCTTCTATCCAGACTACTAAACCTTTCTCCATATTAGCATTAAGGCTGTTTTACTTTCTTATTATTTGTGTGTTTACTGAAGTAGTGCTTCTAATTTTTTAAGAACTTTTCCTTTGCATTCATAAGTTGGATGACTGTTTGCTGCAAGAGGTCTAGCTTTGGCCTATCTTGGGTTTCAATATGCCTTCCTTACTAGACCATTTCTAGCTTACAATGTAAAGTGAGAGATGTGAGACTCTTTCTTTCACTTGAACATTTAGAGGCCATTGTTGGGTTATTAATTGACCTAATTTTAATGTTGTTGTGTCTCAGGGAATAAGGAGGCCCATGGAGAGGAAGAGAGATGGGGAACACCCGGTTGGTAGAACAACACACACAATATTTATTGATCAAGTTTATTGTCTTGTATGGGCATCATTCAAGGCACCTAAAACAACTACTTTAGTAACATCAAGATCACTGAACACAGATCATCATAACAGATATAATAAGAACAATAATAATATTAAAGTATTATGAGAACTACCAAAGTGTGACACAGAGACACAGAGTGAACACATGCTATTGCAAACATGGCACCGGTTGTCTTGCTTGGTGCAGGGTTGCCATAAGACTTGAATTTGTAATAAACATAATATTGGTAAAGCACAGTAAAATGAGGCATGCCTGTAGATTGAGACCTTAACAAGGAAACATATGAAGCCTGAATATGATTTTTGCTTTACAAAAGTTCATACACATTTTTCTCAACAGATTGTAGAATAAATTGCCAATTTATTTATAAACAGTACACACATTCTTTCCTAACAAAATTTGGAAACTAATGTGACTACTAAAATGTATATGAACAATTTTGGTCAGTTTGATTACTAGGGTTTTTTAATTGTGAAAGAGAGTAGGTCAAACTGTTTCCAAACTTGGAACATTCAGGGATTCATTAAAAGGACTATAAAAGTGTTATCAACTTACATAAATGTAATTTAAAGTTTACTGGGCATTGAACAAAGAAAGAATATCATCCAAAAACAGTCCAAAATGGAATCTGGAATCTTTAGGACAAATGTTTTAAAGGCATCTTTTAGGCTTTGTTTAGATGTTTGGCATCTCTAACTGTGGGAAGAAATCAGTTAAAGAGACTTAAACCTGCAATCAATTAGACTGGCTAGTGCTTATCAGAACAATCCATGCTTTTATCAAGTATCAGACATTTGCCCTGTTTCAGAAACTGCTCTGGAGCAACATACTTATACAATACTCTGGGAAAGAATGGTCAATAAAAAGCACAAACAATCAAAGCAACTTAAGTCTTTTTCCAGGCTTTAAAGTCAAGCACTTAGAATGATTCTCAGAAGAGTCATTCTATAAGAATTCTAGAGAGTGTACATTTATCCATATGAAAAGGACGTTGATGTATGTCTTTTACTGTAGAAATAATGTCAACATATCGCTTTTACAGCCGTTTTCAGCTCAAATGGCTGGGTTGGATGAAAAATCTGGACTTGGGAGTCAAGTAGGACTAATGCCTGGCTCTGTGGTAAGCATAAATTTTACTGATCATTGAAGTACTTCAGTGAAAAAAATTATTTTAAAAAGAGAATCTTGAGTTAACTAGTCAAAGAATAACATGCATCTTCTTAAACACAGTCGTACATTCATTCATTCATTCATTTAATTAACTTATTTACTCTACTGTATGCCAGTTAAAAGCCCAGTGTGTTTCATTCATAATTATGCAAAGTGCTGACATTAATAAAGGTCTATCTGTACATTTTATTTAATATTGGAAGAAAATAAAGGAGTTTAAGACATATAACCACAGCCACAATAGTAAAACCTAAACCTTTATAAATAAAAAGCAGAACTATTTTATGGTGCTCTTAGAAACAGTGGTTTGGTAAAATTTTGAAATGAGATGTTTTGCTATTTTCATTTTTATTATTTTCTACTTAATATCCTCTGGCTGCCTTATTCCAACAGCTCTATGGTTTCCTGGCTGAGTCTTCTCAATATTCTTACCCTCTTTTGAATTTCTTCAACATCAGAAAGACTCCCATTTTTTTCCTGGATATTTGGAGCAATCCAATTTTATTGAATAAATTAACACTTTTAAAACCAACTCTCCCATGTTTTATTGCTCATAGCATAGTTCAAAATAATTCCAGGTTAATAGCATTTCAGGCAATAAGAAGTGCAAAATCAGACCTCATAGATAACCACCCCTTCTATCCATCCTTAAGGCCAGCGTTGTGAGCATTTTAAATATTATTTGTATATTTTTAAAGTTACTAGTAATATGGCATCATTTAGTGATTCTTTTGGGAACTTTTTTTTGAGTTGCATGTTTTTATCCATTTGGAGTTTAAATTACATATGTGTGGTTTTTTTTAAATGGAGCTTTTCTTACTATATGTTCCATTCAAAATAAAAAATTAAAATCTTGCCATAAGAATAAATTTGATTTTGGCCAGGCACGGTGGCTCACGCCTGTTCTCCCAGCACTTTGGGAGGCCATGGCAGACGGATCACAAGGTCAGGAGATTGAGACCATTCTGGCTAACACGATGAAACCCTGTCCCTACTAAAAAAAAAAAAAAAAAAATACAAAACAATTAGCCGGGCATGGTGGCAGGTGCCTGTAGTCCCAGCTACTTGGGAGGCTGAGGCGTGAACCCGGGAGGTGGAGCTTGCAGTGAGCCCAGGTCGCGCCACTGCACTCCAGCCTGGGTGACAGAGGGAGACTCCGTCTAAAAAAAAATCCAAAAAGAATAAATTTGATTTTAATTTATTTTACTTTTTAAAGTATGATATTTAAAAAATAGTAATATACATATAATAATAAATGTTCTAAAATCGCATTTTTGTTTTCTTCCTTTTGTTATGCCTCAGTGGAACGATTTCATGTTTAAATGAGGAAAGCCTGTGTGGATAGTTTCAATCTATGTTGTGAAAGAAAGAAATCACCCAGGAAACTCAGTGCCCCAAATCGTTTTCAACTCACATTTAATATAATCTAGTCATTATTGTTGATGTTTCATAAACCTTTAATTCAACTTATTTAAGTTATAAGAATTATCTGCTGTGAATCTGAAGAATTAAATAGGAAGTTTGAGAACTAACTTATGTCAGCCAAGATTTTTCTTTATTCGGATGTTCTTACTTAACAGAACCATCCATTAAACATGCAAGTGTTCTTGTTCTAAAGACATTGGGTGTGTACAGACATATGGCTCATTTCTCTTTATAACACTGAAGTTATGTATAAAATCATCCCAAATGTTGTCCAAGCTTTAATCTCCTTGAATTTAGCTGCCTTCCAAATGAGTACAGATGGAGAATGTCATCATCCCCCTTTGTCAAAACTTCACTTTTCCAGATTCTAGAGATGATTCAACATTTTTGAAATATTTGACCTAATTGTCATGAGTACTTTGCAACGTTTCTCCTCATTTGTTTTTAAGGGTCCTGTTGGCCCAAGGGGACCACAGGGTTTACAAGGACAGCAAGTAAGTCTCTTTATAATTAATTACATGCTGTAAGAAAAACATACACACACACATATATTACATAAGGTCTCTGTGACATGACTGCTTTTGGCTGGTTTTAAAATTTTATATTGTAATGCTCACTTCAAACAGGATATATTAAATAGTTTTTATTTAGAAATATATGCCACATGTCTTTGCAAAGTTTATTGGGATAAATTTTTATCATCTGATTTCTTTATGTGACTGACCTTCGATAACAAAATTACATGACTTTGCATCTGAAGTAAGAAATTCATTATGTTATGTCATGAAAATGTTCACAATTGGTTATATGCCAACTCTGAAGCTATGAAATCAGATCATAGGAGGCAATCCCCGTGTAGTATTATTAGAAATAAGAATCAAGATGTTTGTTCCATGGGATCTTTAGGAAGAATATAATACAATATGCTTTTAAAATGCCTATCAGATGCCAGTAAAATAGTGATGTAGAACTATTTTTATTTATTATAGCAATTTAACAGGCATCAGGAAATAATATTTTAAAAGAAAGAATGAAAATAACCTTTAGTTCAGTCAAGGTTACCACATTGTCATTGTCATGTGTGTGGAGTTTTACTTCAAGCTATCAGTGACTAGAAAATGTGGTTGATGATGGTGATGATGATGATGTTGATGAGGAGAACTACCATTGATGGAGCACTCACACACTGTGCCAGCACTATTCTAGGTTCTTAACATACATTAATTACTTCAGCAGCCATAACAGCCTAATAAAGTAAGTACCAATATTATTCTGATTTTACACATTAGGAAACAGTTACAGACAGATTAAGTAACTTGCCCAAAGTCACACAGCTGGAAGATGGCAGAGCCAACTGTCTAAACAATTACACTGTATATTGACAGAGTACAGGGTTTAATATTCTATTTTTCCTTGGTTTGTATATATACTTTGTTTTCAACTGTAGGGTGGTGCAGGACCTACAGGACCTCCTGGTGAACCTGGTGATCCTGGACCAATGGTAAATGTCAAGTAAGCATGTAGACCCAGTTACATTTGGGTCCACCATTATAATGATGTCAAATATTGAGTTATTTATCTTCCCAGGTCCTCCCTAATGTAGGAAGAAATAACAATCCAGTTTGGGAGTCCTGTTCTATGAACTGTTCTTAAGCTATATGTTTCTCATAGCAGAATATTTAAATTCAAAGACTATTTAAATTTATTTATTTAAATTTAAATTTAAAAATTCAAAGAATATTTACATTCAAAGATTATGATCATTAGACAGTGCTGAGCGATTTGCTTTTGTGCAATTATACTTCTTGTTGAGCACATGATCTGGGGATGCAACATAAAATTCAAAACTTTAATAAAACTATTTTCTCTGTCTCAACAATATTTATCATTTTCATTTGTTTCAATAATAGTTTGACATTTCATTTGTCTCAATAATGTTTTGAATTGTATTACTGGCAAGTAAAGGTAAATATTCTTTTTTTCCTTTTGTTTTGTTCTGTTATTAGGGTCCGATTGGTTCACGTGGACCAGAGGGCCCTCCTGGTAAACCTGGGGAAGATGTAAGCTACCTTTCCTCATTTTCCATTCAGGTTTTGAAGAGGCGAAGGGGTTAAAATGTTAACAAGAATGTTCTGTATTAATTTCCATTACATTTCCCCACCCTTTTAGCTTGCATTAAATTCAATGTAAACAGGAGCACTCAGAATGGAATTTTACAAATATCTAAAAGGGCTCTTAATTTGCGTAGTATTATGTTATTAGGTACTACTGTCTCTTCCTGAATTCCCTGGGTTTTTGTTAAGATTTCTCCATTAGATGCTAGGCTTGTTGTCACAGTAGCAACAACTTTTCCTAGTGGAACCACTGAAATTACCTGAAAGAAAAAATATGTTGCTCTGATGGCAATACATCATTATGAGGTCTTATTTAAAAGGAATTTTTAAAACGTGTTAGTAGTATAGTGCCAATATGGCTCCCCAATGATGAAAAAATGATTTCTTCAATTGGATTTTTAATTAAAGTTAAGACCCAACTCCAGATTTTAACATTAAGAACATGTAATCAGAGAACAGTGTGCAATAGCAGACTTACATTTCTAGATTCTTAGTTGTACCAAAGTTGAGGATCAAATTATGGGTAGGCCATTAATTTCTATATGATACTAAACCAAGTATTAATAAATATTTTCTCTTTATGAGTCATAAGATTTATTTAAACAGGTTACATTGAATTTGGACATAGAGCACATATTTCTGATAGTCTTTTCTTTTTAACCACAGGAAAGAAATGGAAAGTAGTATTTTAAGAAGCAATACTTTAATTCAGTGTCATGTGATCATATAGAATTCTATAGTATATATCCTATAGCATACATGTATGTTTATGTGTATAAATTTTGATGTTCATAAAATAGTGAGCTACATCAGACCAAGAAAATTTTCAACAATTTATTCTTCTGGGTAAATTAATGAAAGCCACAGACTAACTTGATAGAATGGAGTACTATCAGGAATATAAGGAATAGAGCCTATTTTTACTTTATTTTTTGCACTGTTTAGAGAATTGTACATTAGCTTTCTAAAGAAGACTGTTTTATTAGTAATTTATTTATCATTTAGTTTCAGAGAAGAACCTTTTAATCACTTTTGCCTTCCCAATCTCCTACATTTTTTTCCATAAAGGGTGAACCTGGCAGAAATGGAAATCCTGGTGAAGTGGGATTTGCAGGATCTCCGGTAAGTTTATACTCAACATAAAGGCAAACTTTGAAAAATAAAGAACATTGAATTAAATCACAATTCTCTGTATGCACATGTATCAGGCACTAAGTAAATGGAGACAAACAGCATTGTTTGTTTCCGTAAAAATGTAAAATGTCACAGGACGTTTTGCCAGAGTGATTGTTAACTCCAGTTGTCTGCTTTGCATTGGCACCATAAATAAGCCTTCTGGAGCTAGAGAAGTATATTGAACATAACATGAATGCTCTCCAAACTGAGTTTCAAATCCTCAGAAAATTCAGAAAAAAATAGTTTTTTTTTTTTCATAAAATGAGTTACCAGCTTGACCTGTTTACAATTCACACTTCAATCCTATTTTAGCTCTTTAAAATCTTTTTAATATTTTTACTTTATATTGTCACATATGTCTAAATAATAGCTTGAAGAAAAGCTTGTTGCCTTGTTTTTTATCAACTAGAGACAGTAAATTATGGATGGGATGCTTCTTTGGCTGCTCCCCAAACCCTAATTTTGGCTGAAATTCTTGATTAATGTTCTGGGTCCTAAAATCATGACAATTTACACTGATTTCCAGCTCTCCTAACATAGCTGTTTTCTTCCCCTTTGGCTCCCTAAAAGAATAGACTCCTGGCAACTACTCCACCAGAATCCAAGACCTGGCCCCTTTGCCGTTCTCTGAACCCACCTGTCTCTTGTCACTCAAATTGCTTTGCTAGGCCCTCTTCTAGAATGTGTTACGCTGGCCATGGGGAAAATTAGAGTATGATAAGCAAGCAAAAGTCCTCTTCAAACATTCCTACTTCTTGGGTTTCTCCTGCTCAACAGCCCCTAAACATTCACTCTCCCATTTATTATATTTCCTATAATTTCCTTATGTTTCTGCCACTCAGTACAATCAACAGTACCACATTACTTTCTGTTTACTTTCTGAAAATTGATGAGGTTCAATGCTAGGAAATGTTTTAAACAAATGAATGCTCCCTTATCTTTTAAGGGAAATTTGCAAGGCTCAAAGGATTATTTGGTTGCAAATATAAACCAATTTCCCAACTCCCTGCTTTCTTTCCTCCTCGATCAGCCTGGGAAATAAATGCAGACAGAGACATGAGGTTTAGTCATTAGCACAGATGTCCTTTTCAACCCATCCAGGTTTGAACTTCCCATGTCCTGCTGCACTCTTGCTCATGCTCACAGTGTGGGCCCTCCATGGGGAGGAAGGGTGCCCTGCCAGCACACCACAGATGCACTGTGCAAGCTCAGTGCAATGTGTGATTGCACTGTAATGACAGTCCTGGGTCAGCAGAATGAGAATTTTTATGAGCATTAGGACATCTGGTTCATTTTCTTGTTACATTAGGGATATGTAATCACATGAGAATTTCTCTTGCAGACCATAAAAACTGAAGTTAACTAATTATTTGAAATAACATAGCTCAGCAATTCCCCTATAGGCTTAGACGGGTCTGCACTAAGTTGCCTGCTAAGGATGGAGAGGAGACAAATCTCTGTAAAATGAGGCATTAAGTTGAACACTTAAAGGGAGTTCTTGATGTGAAAGAATTCTTGAGCGGGGTTGTGTAAACAGAAGAATTAATGGGACTTCATTTGTTCAGAGAGCATGATTTGTTTTACCCCTACTGTGATAACCCTCTAAAACACTAAAGAAATAATTTTCTTTCAAGAGGTCACAGACGAATTATTGCTTTGATTTTGTTATATGAATTTCATCCATTGAGTTGCTTATTCAACCATTTAGAAATAGTGAATGAAACCTATGATTTGCAGAGCAGAAGGATTTTTTATCTGTATAAGATCATGCTAGGCCAAGAGAAATTCCTTAGGAAAGGTTAAAGTGCTATGAGAGTAAGAAATATCAAACCATTTCTTTATTTAGTTGTTTATCCAGTGATTATTCATTGAATGTCCATTAACCAAACATAAGGCTAAGTGCCAGCTATACATAAATTAAGAATAATAATCAATAAGTGATCACATCAATCAATGCTATCAAGGTGCTCAATATACTGGCGGCAGTGGTAATGGCAATTCAATGCAAAATCAAATTAATATAGGCCATAATAATAAGTAAATAATTAAGTCATTAGCTTAGTATCTTTTAAGACAGTATAAGGAAAAAGTTTCAAGCATCATTTCAAAATAGTTGTGCCACTGGATTTGATTTTCTATGGTATTTCTATTGTTTTTTATTTAATGTGTTTAGGTGAAAGCTACATAGAATTTGCAGAAATTAAGTAATTATTTAGTCAAGAAACCAAGCATTCTCATATTTCTTGACTTTCTTTTCTGTTGGATATTTTGTTTATTCATTTAGTTTTTTAAATAATCATAAATCCACAAAGTTTTTTTCTAAACAATTTATTTTAAAAATTCCTGACCACATTATAATACTGTTCTTCCCATCATATTCTGCTGCCAATATTCAGAAATTCATAGAAAATAAAGACATTGGTTTGCTACAAAGACATTTAATCGTGTACCATAAATAAAGCACAATAAAGAAGGAAAAGGATATTTTATCTTGAATTTCTCTCCTGAATATTTTTTTTCTACCTTGGTATAGTCAATTCTCATGTTGGACATATTGATTCATGCTTATGTTCTTGTTTTGTTTTCACTACTAATTATAACACAGTGATATCATGTGAAAAATTCAAAATGTCATGAACTCAATACCTGGCATTACTTTGTATCCTTGTATAAGTCATGTTTCCATTTCTAATAGCATATTTACTTTGCTAATTTTGATCACCCAGATATATTTTGACAGATAAAAGTATACTGCTTTTTTTTGTTCTTCTTAATATGTTGCTGGAAAACTGTGTACTAGCTATTTTTTGGGAAAAAATGATATATTAAGGAATTTTGCATCCTTATTAATGACTGTAAAATGCCCTATCTATGTTTTCCTCCCAGGGAGCTCGTGGATTTCCTGGGGCTCCTGGTCTTCCAGGTCTGAAGGGTCACCGAGTAAGTTCAATCTATTGTAATCCTCTCAGATACTGTGGTTTAGTGAACAGGCTCTGGGGAGATTTACCTTCAAAATCTTTACAAGTCAATTTGTCAATTGTCCTTAACTGTCTATGGTTGCAGTATTCATCTGTGGTTACTGAAATCACAATTTTTTAATACATTTCCTTTGAGTTTAATTTGATTTGATAAAGAAATATATTTTGAATTCTTACTATGTACTGGACACTATGCTACAAAAGAGGGTACAGTGATGAATGAGAAAAATCTCTAGCCTGAAGCTTCAGGCTAATGGGGGATACGGATGAAAAGGTAGGCAATTCCTGTATAGTGTAATAGGTGACATGGTAGAGATAGAGAGTACTAGGTCACAGAAGGGACCCAGTCTACCTAGACTTGGAAAGCAATAGAATGCCTTCCTTATTACTGAAGATAATTACGATGTAACTATTATATATTGTTTACATATGTAGAATCTATCATCTATCTAACTATCATAATATCAAATAGTGATATTCAATCAATATACACTGGCCTCTGTTTTGAGTAGTTGAGATTTTGATTAAGATGTCTGCTGCTATACTCATTATTAAGTATTTTGAACATTCACCTTGAATACAAATGATATTTTATAACAATATGAACTCTGTAGTTATGTGTTTCCTCTAAAGCCACTGTAAGGTTTTTATTTGTAGCTACAGATTAAATTTCTATGAAGTCACAAGTGTTTGAAGGGTGAGAACACTGCAAGCTGAAAATGTTATTTAAAGGTGAAAACTCTAATTTTCCTTGAATAAGCTTTCAGAAAAGTTTGAGAATTTGAAAGTATTTTGAGCAACAACTTTAAATTTGATATTCATTTTTATAAGGCAATTTCTGCAAGCTTATTTTTGGTTCTTATGCCTTTGAGGATTGAAAAAAACAGGATACAAATACAAATTTACATTTTTATTCTCAGGGACACAAAGGTCTTGAAGGCCCTAAAGGTGAAGTTGGAGCACCTGGTTCCAAGGTAATCTTATAATTATCTCACTGTAACCTCACTTTGGCATCTTAGTTTTGCTTCAAATGTTTACACATTTTTCAGAACCACCTTAATTCAGCAGGAGAGAGGGCTACAAACAAATGGTTAGGTAAATAAACATAATTTTTCAAAGATGAGTGGCAATGGCTTTACCATGACATGACTTGATATGCCTCCAAGAATAGCCTCCATAGCACTGGGTGTCTGCCAGTGTAGGATGAGTGTTGTCTTCATATGAAGATGGCACTATGAATCTATCTTTTAAAATACAATCATTCATTTTTCTTTTTAAAAAATATCTGAAAGGTTTAGATAGTTCATTAGTCCCATTATTGAGTACCCCTTTAATACCAAGACCTTCTCCTCATTGTTTCTTCTCAAAATTTATTTGTATTTCTACAGGGAGAAAAAACATCAAGGAAGTATAAAGGAATTTCTAGTGGAAAGCATCATGACCTAATGTGGAAAATCATTTGGCTTTAAAATTTTTTTTATTTCTAAGTCTCCTAGAATAGATCTTAAGATAGTGTTACAATCAATTTTAGCTTTGTAAAGTTTTACTTGAGACGTATCAGACATAGCCAGATAAGTCCTTTCCTGAGACTAGTTACTGTGGCTAGGTATGATAGTTTCCGTCAATCTTAAGTCCCCAATATTATTTTAGATGTATTTCTTTAAAACTACACTACTATTGCATTTTGAGAAGAGGTAATAAAACAACATTCTGAGATCCTATATCAAAAGTACATCTTTCATATGTCCTCTTTGAAAATATGCTTTTAAAATTACACACACAGAACAAAGTGATGTATCGGTTGTAGGCTTCTCATACTGTAATGTATTCTCATTTTTTTTTAGGGTGAAGCTGGCCCCACTGGTCCAATGGGTGCCATGGGTCCTCTGGTATGTGCTCGTTTTCTTGTTTCTTAAATTTCTAAGGTTATATTTCCTTGCCTTTTAGATTACAACAAGAGAATTTTTAAATGAAAAATAAAAATAAATGGACAACATATGTTGGCTAGTAAAATAATCTTGATTACCAGCTGATAGACAAGCACAGGAGAGTTGAGCCCTTCTAACAGAAAAGGTTTCCCACATTTCACTGTTTCTCTTAACGGTTGAATGCCCTTATTCTTTTTCTATACTCAGTGATCAAATCAAGATTATCGCAGATTTAGCCCATTAAAGCCAGGTTAAGTGAAATCTATTTATGTAAGAGGTGATAGGTTATTTATCTCCACATGGGGATAGTTTTTCAAACCCAACATTGCCCCTGGAAATACTACTGCTTGGTGGCCAATTATCTTGAATCTCAATTGGATTGAGTGGGGTAGTCAGACTACTCTACATTTCAAATTAGGTGCTTCAAGAGACATTTCTTCTCTATCGTCTATAGGGTCCGAGGGGAATGCCAGGAGAGAGAGGGAGACTTGGGCCACAGGGTGCTCCTGTAAGTATATCTGCTTTTACTTATACTGCTGAGATGTGTATTTCAATTCATTTTCAGATTTGGTTTACTGAACTTGCCTTTTAAATGAAAGTAATAGTACTGGTCACCTTTTTTTTTTTTCTTTTTCTTTTGGAATAAAGTCAGGTTTACAGAAAAGTTGAAAAGAAAGTACAGAGAATTCTTGAACAACCTTCCCTTTGCTTTAATGTTAACATATAGCCACAGTACATTTGTCATCTACTTTAATACAAAAATTAAGAAAATAATGAATACATATAACAGCATGGAATATAGTCCATAGAAAAACACAAACTTGGATATACTAATGAAATTACAATAATAGGAAACATTTATCAAGAGCTTATTATATGCCAAGAATTCTTCCAAGCATTTTATGTTCCTCATACTCCTAAAAGGTGGTTACTCTGAGTGCACTCTTTGAAAGATGTGAGCCTCCTGATCACCTGTCCTTGATTCATTTTAATTATACAGATTGAGAAATACTCTTGCAGACTATTTATGTAACTTGAACCTGTATAGGAGGCATATTCTAATTATTCTTTTCGCAATTCTCTGAAGATCAGGCTATGCTGACTAATATTTCAGACTTATAGTTCATTACTTTGGACCTACCTTGCTTTAGATAGTTAAGGACTGCCACCTTTCCTCTATTATTTCAAGATCCGATCATCCCCATTACTATTAGCAATAGCGGGTTTACACTGTCTCTGCTATTACCTCCAGCCCATAGAGGACAACCACCTCAGAGCTACTCAACAATACCAAATTCAGGGCCCTGATTTGGAAAGTGTAAGACCCTCTCACCAGGCCATTCTTTATCACTTTAGTAAGCAGAGTGTCCTAAGGGGATATAGAGAATATTATAGAATATAGTCAGCTATTGGCTTATCTAGGCTAACATCGTCTATCAATATAGTATGCTTACTTCTCTGTGCTTTCTTCTACTGTCTGCCAAGGGAGGTCTGACATTTCTGCCCCAGCATTGGCTATTGCTCTTCCCACATTTCTAAGAACTGTCTCCCATGTCAGCACTATTTCTCAGGGTTCTTACCAGGGTATTAAATTGCAATATCACGAGACAGTGTATCCACATCATTAAAATTTTCCAACTTTGTATTCTGTTTTTTTGATACAGTATCTTCAGGACCAAGACCCATACATTCTTTCTCAGATCCCGCCTCTACCCGATGTTTAGGTCTTATAGGTGCTTTGGTGTATGATATCTTTTTAAAAAATCAGGAGTAGTGTTAGTTATTGGTGTGGTGTCCAGAAGTGAGGCTTAAGTTGTCTTCCAAATTAGAGGCTTAGGTATCATCTTCAACAAGAGAGAACTACCAACTATTAATGGGGGGAATGGGCCACTTCTCTAGGCCAAGTGACTTTAGATGGACCTGAGATTTTAAATTTCTTTTTTTTCCTTTAAATTTTGAGGACAGGGTCTTACTCTGTTGCCCAGGCTACAGGGCAGTGGCACAATCATAGCTCACTGTAGCCTTGAACTCCTGGGCTCAAGCGATACTCTCACCCAAATAGCTGGGACTACAGGTGCATGCCACCGTTCCTGGCTAATTTTTTTTGTAGAGACAGGGTCTCACATTGTTGCCCAAGCTTGTCTAAAACTCCTGGCTTCAAGCAATCCTCCTGTCTCAGCCTCCCAAAGTGCTGGAATTACAGGCATGAGTCACCGGGCCCAGCTGAAGTTCTTCAGTGTGTTGACCCACATATCCTATTGCCAAATCTCAGAATCCGACTCCTCCCAATCCAGGACCCTGACTGTGACATAACAGACTTTCTAGGTTTGAGAATTCAGCCATCCCAAGAGCTCTCATAGTCTTGCATTAAGCCCTGTGCTTGGCCTGATATTCAGCTTTTTCTTCTCTCTGGTTGCAGATGAGAATTAAAATAAAATGCTGCCAAGGAGTCTTACTTTGGTGATTTATCACCATCAGCCTTTTAGTGTCTTTCTCCAATAGATGCACTATACAAGACCCATGCAATTCCATCAGCTTTATAATTGTTATTTTCTTAATTCTTCTCAAATGCCCGAGATATTGCATTACTAGCCCATTCCCTTAAAATATCTCTGTTCACCATTGGTGACAATATTTTCCATTGTGCCATCGCGGCATGCCAAGGGTGATTCATACTCCAACTGTCACCAGCTGACCAGTGGGAAATCCAGCTTACAAATCCCACTTTAGAGTTTGCTTTCTTGTAACCACTCTGACATTAATGGTCTTAGGGTCTTAGGTCAGGTTTCCTAGGAAACAGCCTCAAAAAAGTGACTTGTATACAGTACAGGAAATTTATTGGTGAGTGCTCTTAGAAACTGTATTTTTGAAGGAAGGAATGAATAAAAGCAGGGTTTTTCAGAGGGAGAAATTGAATTGTGTTGCAATTGCAACAGAGATCTCAGTCAATTTCAGGGGAACTATGGAGCTGAGATGGCTCTTGCAGACTTGTGTCAAATAAGGGCCAATGCTTTGTATCCCTGCATTGACCAAGGAAAGAGCACAGTCTTGAGAGAGCTAATTCCCTTTAGCTGAGGGCAATTCCTAGGGAATGTATCAATAGTGAGCCATCAGCAGGTTATATTTCCAGCTGGCAGGATGAATACTTCAGTACTTAAGGGAGCTCTGGGTGAAACCTACAGAATTCACTATAACTTAATTTATCTCTCTTGTGTATTTTATTTTCTGGACATTGCTTCTCTGAGTTAATCTGGCTATTAAGAATACTGAGGTGTTCAAATTTTCATTGTCTCTGAGTTCATATGTTAGAAGATGATACATTAAAGTAAAAGAATCATTTTAATCAGTTTCATTTTCTCAATCTTGATTTTATTGCTTATTGCTATAAGGATAGATGCATTTATGACTACCATATCAGCTTGTGTAAATGTATTTATATTGCTATTAACTGAGTGAGGGTTATTGTCAGTTAACTTTAATATTTATTCTTCAATTTGCAATATGGAAATTTTTTATAAGGCAAATAAGAGAAAATATAGTCTAAAATGTAATCTTATCCTGTCTTGTCTCTTTTTCTCTTAATTAGGGACAACGAGGTGCACATGGTATGCCTGGAAAACCTGGACCAATGGTGAGTTATATTATTTTCATATTAATTCATTAATTTATTCATGCATTCTTCCATTTGTACATTCAAAAACATTTACAGAGCACTCACCACATGCCAGACACTTGGAATAAAAAGTTGATGGACACATAGTACTTCTTCAAAACTGTTCTATTAAGGAAGAGAGAGATATTAATATTGTTGTATAACATAATTGTTAACTCCATAATACAGTATACAACTTCAGTTATGGGAACAACTTTCAAGCCAAGTCCTGAAAGATAAGTATTTAATATATAAAATGGGCAAGAATATAGCATTGTCCATAGGATAGATAGATGACAAAACACAGTGGGCTCAGAAAATTCTAGGAAGGTAAAATTGGATTGAGAGGCGAGAGCTATATCATGAAGGGTTATACTTACCATGTTAAATGGTTTTTGAGCTCTTTTCTATAGTAGTTAATGTGCGATCATTCAGGGATTTTAAACATAAGAACATTATGACCAGAGGATAATCTGCTGGTAATGTTGAACATGAAATGAAGATGGCTAAGAATAAAGAATGAGTTTGAATACCACTGGCATAATTCCAGAAAGAAATTACAAAGATGTGAACTAAAGTTATTATGGTAGTAACAGAGGCCGACTGCATGTCAATGAGCTAAGAACTCTCATGGGCATGGCCCAGTAGATTTCTGGTTTAAAGTGTTTGATGGATGATGTAATTTATCTGAAATTGGAAATAAAGAAAGAGGAACAGCATACCGTTTGTGGGTTTGAGTTTAGAATGGGAATAAATGAATTCAATTTCGTGATTAGATATGCAAGAGTGGAGCTCAGGATAGAAATTTGAATTTCAAATGTAGTTTTGGAAATTTTTAACATACAGGCAATAAATACAGCTGTGGGAGTAAAAATGTAACATGGAATGAGAAATGATGAGGTCTCAGTGTGTACCAATATTTTGTACATTGTGCTTTTTTGTGCTTGGTATGGACAAGGCTATTGTATTTTGCTTCAGACCATCTTGCACTATTTCATAGGTAATCCTCTGTAACTATGAACCTTTAATTCACGCTTGAAGATGAAAATCTGAATACTTATAACTAGATCTAGATCATAAAGGGCTATACTTACTTACCCATTTAAAGGGTTTTTGAGCTCTTTTCTGTAATAATTAGTGTGAGATCATTCAGAGATTTTAAACATAGGAACTTTATGACCAGAAAGATCATCTCCAGGTAATGTGGATGATGAAATGAAGATGGCTAAGACTAAAGAATCATCTGTAAATTATAAACATAGAATCAAATGTAAATTATAAACAAAGGCAAATATTTTAAATTTGACACATTTCAAGCATATTACCTTTTTAAAATTCCATTACTTGCAATAGTTCTCCCTTGTGAATAGCCTCAATTGCTGCCCATTAACTGCTGTGTTACCCAGAGGTACAAAGGATCCTAAGAGATGTGTGGAACTGAAGTAGATTTTAATTGTAACAGTGCTATGGATCAAGGTCTCTACTATTATTCAGTCAAGGACACTTAAATTATATCTCTACAAGCAAAACAAAACTAATTTAATTTTTAAAAAGAGCTTCAAGACATAAAGTTATTTTCTGAACTTTAGAGCAACTTATTATACATGTGCTTTTCCCATCAAATTATGTGACTTTAATAGTGGTGCCCTGACTTTTAAAAGGAAGATGTAATGATATCTAGAATAAATTATTTCATATATTATTAACACTGGTTGCTAGTAAAATGTACATACTTATATTGTAGGCATCATGTAGTAAACTTTATCTGTTCATCATGAAATTAGTGGTTCTCAACTTTGGCTATACACTAGAATTACCTGGAAACTTAAAAATATTGATGTCCAATCCAATTTAAATGTAATCTCTAGAGGTAGACTCAGAAATCAGTATTTTTTAAAGCTCTACAGATGATTTCACAGGGTCATCAATGTGGATAGCTGTTGCAGGAAACCAAGAAGTGGTGTTTTGTAATAGCACAAATATATTTATAAAATGTTTTCTATAGCCATTTTTTAATGTAGTAATTGAGCACAAAGTTGTTACTGAAAATGCTCCTAAATAAATAGTCCATGGAACAATTTTATTTTGCTGCAACAGGAAAAACTGAGTCAAGCTCTACAAGGTAAATTATGCTAACAAAACACCAAGAAAAGAAAATATTATGAGGGAAAGAGAGAAAGTATTGTAGGAAATATTCATGATCAACGTGGGCCAAGACTGAACGATCATAAAATAAAATAAATTTAAAGCTATTAGCCAAAAGTAAAGTATAATTATAGAAATTGAAATCATTTGCCCCAAGGATCTTTTCTCCCTTGTTTCTCATAAGTAGGAAACAAAACATAGGATGAAAAAATATGTACATTTTGAAAGGGCTTCTATTAATTGAAAACTGATGAGACTAAAGTACAATCCTTAGAGTTAGAGTAATCTGTACTAGAATTCCTTTTATACTCACTTCTTTTAAATTTAGTCTTTTAATCAATGGTTTAAATTCTATGCATGCCTTCCCAAATGTAGGGTAATATAAATATCCATAAATATCCACTTATTGCCTGAAAAACCTCTCTAAAATATCCAGATGGTTTTTTTTTTTTTTTTTTTTTGGAGATGGAGTCTGACTGCAGGTTGGAGTGCAATGGCGTGATCTCAGCTCACTACAACCTCCACCTCCCAGGTTCCAGCAATTCTCCTGCCTCAGCCTCCCAAGTAGCTGGGATTATAGGCGCCAGCCACTACACCCAGCTAATTTTTGTATTTTTAGTAGAGACTGGGTTTCACCACGTTGGCCAGGCTGGTCTCGAACTCCTGACCTCAGGTGATCTGCCTGCCTTGGCCTCCCAAAGTGCTGGGATTACAGGCATGAGCCACCGTGCCTGGCCTCCAGATGGTTCTTAAGCATCATTTTTATAGAATGAAGTACTAGATTTTGATATAAAATATAACTTTCTAAAAACTATATTATTTGATTAACACAAAGAAAGTACATCTCTCAAGAGGCAATTGTTTGAAACACTTTATGTTTGTGATTGACTTAATCCTATATGCTATTTGAGTAATCCAATTATGTTTAATACCTTGGATATGTCTTTTAGTATTACTTTAGATTGATGTTGAAGGTACTTATAATGAAATTAGCCTATTATCTTTGTAATTTTAAAGTGAAAGGCAGGTTATTCTTATGTGTCTAATACAAAATGACGCCAAACTCTAAAAAATGACCTAATTAGATACTAATTGAATACATGTCTGATTACTTTTCTGGTTTCTTTTAATAGGGTCCTCTTGGGATACCAGGCTCTTCTGGTTTTCCAGGAAATCCTGGAATGAAGGTAAGATGTTAATGTTAATATACAGTATTTAACGCTACATGATTACATGAGTCCCAAAGTGAAGAATGACATTTAATTAATTGAAAAGTGTGAAAGTTACTTTTAACTAAGGAAAGAGCCTAGAGTATGCTCATTTTTCATTATTACATGGAAAAAGATACATTAAAAAATAAAATTAACTGTATAAATATAATTAAAGGAGAATTACTTATAATTGTACCCTTATAATATCAAAGAACCTGATGTGTTAGGACTCTAATGCCAGCCAGTCAAAACAACTATAAGGAATAGGAGCTTTAAACTGAATAGGAACTCTATTCTCTATTCTTGAATAGAGTACCTGGAAGTAATAAACAGCAGAATGTTCCAAACAATAGGAGGTTAGGAGGTTAAAATAAATTAGATGCTGTCAAAAGGCATCTAACATTTTCACCTAACATTTGTTATCACTCTGCACTCCCCCAGCTCCACAATCCAATTCTATGAAGCCATTAAAGGAGTGGGCACGGAGAATATTTGGCTCTTCATGTGGGAATGGATTAAAGTATTCTGTGGGATGACTTAATATTTGTAGTGAATCACAATTGGTTCTTTCTCTCAGTACTTTGGGATAAATTCAAGGATGACAGTAGAAGGACATTAGGATTACATTAGATAAACTGGTGAATTAATTCAGAACACCTCTTTCAAATTGTAAGCAATATAACACATCTGATTTCCCCTGATGCCATGTTTCCCTTTGCAAAGACATTCTTAATCCTGAAGAGATTATGCACAAGATTATGCTGTACAAAAATGACTGCGGTCACGGACAGTCACCTGGCCCCTCTAAACTTTGTTTTCTCATGGAATTTTGTTGAGGATTATGTGACACCATCTATGTAAACTCATCACATAGGGCCTTATGCAGAGGACACCCTCAATGTAAGTTCGTGCTTCTTATTAGTTGTGCTACTCAAATTGGATTTAAACTTAGAAACAAACCAGAAGAAAAATGTCTGTAGCTGACATTTCAGATATTCCTTGAAAATGTGAGAATCACCAAGTCAAATTATTCTGTAGGCTCTCTCTAATGACATATTCAAACACTGTGCTATGGGGATGCCGCTGCTTTAAAATAGTGCCTTAATTCCTTTCCCTGCATTCACTGAGAACTCAATGTGAACTCAAGTGGGTGGGATCTTGTTGGGTTCTCCTCTGAATCTGATCTGCTCCCTGAAGTCCTAATAATGTCACTACCACAGACTCTGGCCCAGACTCTCTATATACCCCTATCAAAACATGCAAAATCCCTTCCCTCTTTTTGTGAGACCCTCCGTCCCCAAATTGAGTTCTGGTTAAGGAAATACTCACAAATCTATGAATTAGCAGAAAGAGGTTTATACTACAACTTTCATGGGGTTTACTTTAACTTCACTAGCAATCATAGTTTACACAACCATTCACTCTGGTTACTTCTCTCTCCTCCTGGGTGTTTGTGGTACTGGTTGTTGGCTACTGAAAACTGCTCAATAAAACTCAAATATCTAGCAAAACTGTTTCTGTTAGAAATTTTCTGTGTTTTCCTTCTTGCTTCTCTCCACCATAAAATTCCTGGATCTTTGTTTTTGGACAGGATCCTGCTTTTCCTACAAAGTTCTGCCATGGTCTCTGCTCTCTGACTAAAGAATAAATTTCCAAATCCAGTTCTTTGCATTTCAATGAAGTGAAACAGAGATTCAATATGCTTTACTGATACTGATGAGATTCCTAAGGCTTAGAATTTTAGTTTTCCAGGCCTCTTTAGGATTAGATCCACATAGGTACATAATAAGCCAGATAAAATACAGAAACCAAGTTAAGTTTGAATTTCAGATGAGCAAAGAATACATGTTTAGTATAAGTATGCCTCAAATATTGCATGGGAAAAACTTATGCTAAAAGTTATTGTTGTTTATATGAATGAAAACTCAACTAGGCATTTTTATTTGCCAGCTGGACTCACTATCTTGGCTTGAAATAAAGGGAGCTATTAAGTTACCTTAACCACTTCACTCTGCTCTTAATGTTGCACTTTAAAAAGTATCTTTTAATTCTTATCAAAGAAGTATTGTTTCTTTGGTTTAAAAATAGATGGTATTTTGCTTATAATGCTGCCAAAAATTAAGTTGATTAGACTTAAATAAAGTTGTAGCCCAGATGTTTTTCACTTTACTGATAAATGCTTTCTTGAAGGTCGGTGGAACTGAGTTTTTACAACTCAAATCTTATATTCTGAAATATGATTTGTTATATTGCTTATATAGCAAGGAAACAATTTATTGTTCTGTAATGATGGTATGAAATTTTATATAGACTTTTTACAGTGAGTTTCACAGATTTGGAAAACTATTGTCTAATCTTGCAGCACATTTTAGCTGATATTAGGTTGTTTTATAAATATTGGAAAATAATATGATTTATCCTCTGATGATTGCATGAAGCTTTAATTTTGTAGTAAATTTTTAGACTTGAAATATCTAGCTTTACATTGAACAGAAACAACCTCTTTAAGCACAGTGGGTTGGTCAGTTTTTCTCCTTCATTTGATTTGTGTTAAAGAGTCCGAATGTATACACTGTTTATACAGAAATGGGCTTGAATAACCTGAGTATTTATGTAAGAACATACTAAAAGTAAACCATGTGGATTTAAGAATATCTATTCTTTGATAAATATCTTAAATAAAAGATATTTAAGACTATCTTATTCTTTGAGTAGACTCAGTGTGCCTGAGGTGTAGGGCTGTTTCTAGTTTTTCTTTATGAACTTAGATTATCTAAACTGTTTAATATGTAATAAGTGTAAATTCTGATAGGTGTGGGAAGAAAAATCTCAGATTTTGTGGAGGTTCAGAGGAGAGGGAACTTAAGCTAACCCTGGTGTAGGGCTTCTTCAACTGGAGATTGGATATGGAGAATATTCCTAGTGAAGAGGCCACCAGCGTCATCCCTTAAGAAGGAAGTGGGAAAGTGAGTGCGCTCCTTAAGCTTGGTTGGGCACGCATCTCTTGTAATCCTCTTTGGCCTCTTTCAGTATTTGGGTTTCAAATGTAAAATTCCAAATAAGCGGTCAACTTTGTACAATGCCACTCTCGTATTTTTCTTAAATTAACATTTCCCTTTGCACCCTTTTAGGGAGAAGCAGGTCCTACAGGGGCGCGAGGCCCTGAAGGTCCTCAGGGGCAGAGAGGTGAAACTGGGCCCCCAGGTCCAGTTGGCTCTCCAGGTCTTCCTGTAAGTTTCTAGCATATTTAAGAACCAGCCCAGAAAGCTGGACATTTCTTGTAACATCAGAACAAATTCAACCTATTTTTTTAATTGATACATAATATTTGTACATATTTAGGGGGTACCTGTAATGTTCTGTTATATGCCTAAGATGTGTAATAATCAAGTCAGGGTATTTAAGATATCCATCCCATTGAGCATATATCACTTCTATGTGTTGGGAACATTTTAAGTCCTCTTTTTCTAGCTATTTTGAAATATAAAATTTAATATATTCTCTGAATTCTGAATGAGTGCTTACAACTGTGAAAAAATATATTTCCCTTGTCAACTCTGTAAGTTTTACCTATTTTATGTAAAGGAGAAGTAGTCAAAAAAGTAATTTTTATGATATAATGGTGGTTGATTTTTAAAAAATGCTTCTACTTCCTTTTTGAAGATGGCTGGACATCTGTATACTAGCACATTTGTATCTATATATTGCTTAATATTTCATTACATACTTTTAATGTACCTTTTAGGGTGCAATAGGAACTGATGGTACTCCTGGTGCCAAAGGCCCAACGGTGAGTACTGCATTTATGGCATGTGAAGCTCAAATGGGCATGATTCTTTAGACATTGGCCCCAGACTGCTACCTGTGTCTCTACTTACCACATCACTCTTGCTGTTTAATAGGGCTCTCCAGGTACCTCTGGTCCTCCTGGCTCAGCAGGGCCTCCTGGATCTCCAGGACCTCAGGGTAGCACTGGTCCTCAGGGAATTCGAGGCCAACCGGTAATGACCTTTGAAAGAACTATCATCCTTTAGTGTAATCTAACTACGAGGGCCAAGAGTAATAACATGTCATGTGATGCAATGAAACATAGATAACGTGACTTATCCAAATGTGGGAAGATGGGAGTCTTTGTGAAGTGAAAGCTAAATGTTGAGGTACAACTTAGATGTTTAAATTCTAAGTGGAACATTATTGCAGTATGTTAAATTTTAGTGTTCTTTTATTTAAAATAATAAGGTTATAACTTTATGGTTCACCTCATAGAATTTTATGAATAATTGAATAATAAATATTATGAAAATATTATGCAAGCCAGTGTGAGGAATATGGAGCTTCAATAGGAATTTATAATGACAATTAGGCTAGGGTTCAACAACTATTTCTTCAGAGTTATTGTTAAAGAGTGATTCAAATATATTAATCAGATTGAATGTCAGATTGAATGTTTTCATATTTTACAGAAATTATTTATTAGAAAAAATATTTTGATGAACCCATAACAAATAAACACATTGAGAAGTTGTGCTTAATAGCTTTTAGCTTGATGTATAAAAATAAATATTTAAATAAATATTTACAATTCTGTTCCAAGTAATGTGGTCATGCTGATAAATTCTCTTAAAGTGCTGGTGACAGATTTATTAAATCATTAGTGTTGCTAGTGTCACATTTGATTTTACCAAGTTCTGAATTTTGCAATCCAGTTCTTACAACTTAAATTTCAGTTGGTATTTAAAGACACACCTACAGAAAACCCTCTAACATTCCAAGAGTGAAATGCCCTATTTGAAGTTGCTAAATTCTCAATAAATACGGCATAAATATAAAATTATTTTGATTCTGGGTAAACAAGTTCACATCCTAAAATACAGCCTAAATGTATTTATCTATAGAAATTGTCATTGATAGTTCCAATTTTAATTTTCAAATTTGAATAATAACTCAATAATTCTATTTATTCTACTACACATGATAAAAAACATGATTTTAAAAATAAATCTCTTAAAGACCACTATAAATTAAATGGCTTCCAAATTATACTGAATTTTATAAAAATTTACACATATTAACATATTCACATGCATTCATTTAAAAATGATTATATTATACTACTGATGCAAAACCGACTCAGCTGGAGAGAATTTTTAAAGCCTATTTATTGTAACTAATTTGAGCAGATTGGACTAGCTAAATGTCCTGGTTCTTACAAATATCAATATATTTTTTTCAGGGTGATCCAGGAGTTCCAGGTTTCAAAGGAGAAGCTGGCCCAAAAGGGGAACCAGTAAGGTTTCATTGTTTTAATGATAAGTAGAACATAGTATTGTCTGGAAGTGTACAGCTCAAAATGCTCAAGGGTTTAAAATAATAATGAGAATTATAATAGCTTGAGATGAAAATATCTCATTGTTCCATATACTTTAAAATTTGTGACTGACTTCGTTAAATTAGGCTTCCAACTATAATTCACTGGTTGGATGGGTCTTTCTGGTAACTGTCCTTCTGTTTTTAACAGGGGCCACATGGTATTCAGGGTCCGATAGGCCCACCCGGTGAAGAAGGCAAAAGAGGTCCCAGAGGTGACCCAGGAACAGTTGGTCCTCCAGGGCCAGTGGGAGAAAGGGTAAATTTAAATAATACAACACATTCTTACAGTTGTGAGGGAATTATGTGTGTAAGTCTGAGAACAGTAAGGAAAACTAGAACAGTTAAGAGAAATGCTTGCAGGTTCCCTGCACAGTTCAGTACAGTTATGTGCAAATAGAAAGAGCCAACTGACTAATCATTATTCATACATTCAACTAATATTGGTTAAATCACTAGTCTATGCCAATTTGAGCCATCTGTGCTTGGAATTATATCAGTGAACAAGAAGGCTATGGTCCTAGTCCTCATGTGGAGACTAGTAAATAGTTGTTTATTTTAGTGGAGAGGTAAACAATAAACAAGTCAATGGGTAAATAAAAATATATGTACACACTTTAAAAAATGCCATACACACACTAAGTAAAGACATGACACATTGGAGAGTAACTACACATATATGTCAGTGTTGTAATGTTAGATTAGGTGGTTAGGAAAGAGGATCCTCTGAGAAGATAGCATTTTAGCTGAGACCTGAAGATGATGATAAGCCAGTAGAAAACTTGGAAGGAAGAACATTCTTAGCAGAGGAAAAAGCAAATGCAAAGCTGGGAGGGCAGAAAGGACCTGGTGATTTTAAAGACCAGAAGAGGTAGCTGTGACTGGAGCACAGTGAGACAGGTCTGAAAAGAAGAACAGTAATCTCACATTTATCTAGAGCTTTGGAGAATGCAAAGCGTTTCACAAAAATGTCACTAATGCATGTCATTGTTGACATTTTAATTGCTATAGATGGTACCTATGCCTCTCATCTCTAGATATCAGTTTTCTCTGTTTAATTTTACTATGAATCGTTAGAATATTTCCTTGCTTCCTTCCTTCCTTTCTTCCTTTTTTTTTTCTGACATAGTCTTGCTGTGTTGTCCAGGCTGGAGTGCAGTGGCACCATCTTGGCTCACTGCAACCTCTGCGTCCAAGGTTCAAGAAATTCTTGTGCCTCAGCCTTTTGAGTAGCTGGGATACAGGCACTTGCCACTATACCCAGCTAATTTTTGTATTTTTAGTAGAGACAGGTTTTCACCACGTTGGCCAGGCTGGTCTTGAACTCCTGACCTCAGGTGATCTGCCTGCCTTGGCCTCCCAAAGTGCAGAATATTTCTTGATTTGAGGAATTATTTGGCTCAGTACTTATATATTCTTCAAAATTTTAAAGTTTTTCCATCGAGTCAGATTTTTCTCATGCATATCTATAGCCATGTTGGCTTGATGATGGCTCCTAAAACTTTATAGTGCTAAAAATAAAAATCACCTATTCATTACATATTGCAAAAATATCAACAACAATTAAGAATCACATTTTGGTCATTTGTAGGGTGCTCCTGGCAATCGTGGTTTTCCAGGCTCTGATGGTTTACCTGGGCCAAAGGTGAGGTTGCCCTGTCAATGTTGATACTTACGTGGGGGGTGCTCCAGAAGATGCCATTTTTCAGCACGGTGATCTAGCTATGGCCTGCATGGGCTCAGATCCAGAAAGGAGATGGATACAAATACCAGGCCTAACCCCAATCCTCTCTTGTGTAATTCCTGTATTAAGAGGCATAGGGGGGAAGGATGCTAGTTGGCGGAATGTGGTGACAAAATTTTATACGTTATATCAGTGCCTTGATTTGTATGTTATATTAGTGCCTTGATTTGTAAAACGATAATTTTACTTCTGCTTGCTTTTGTTTTTCTATACTCTTTTTCTTCATGCATCTGCTTTGCCTCGGTACAGGGTGCTCAAGGAGAACGGGGTCCTGTAGGTTCTTCAGGACCCAAAGGAAGCCAGGGGGATCCAGGACGTCCAGGGGAACCTGGGCTTCCAGGTGCTCGGGTAAGAATATAGCAAGTGTTTGCTACATCAAAGGGGAGAAGTGCTCCTGAGCATGCATTGGTCGGGTTTTTGTTTGTTTTTAAATTTAGTTTGTTTTTACAGTTTAGAACATTTCTTTGTTTTTATGGTTTTGATCCAATTCATTATTTTAAAAAATACTGGTTTGTTATTTTTATCATATATAGAAAACACGGTAACTTCTAGTCTCTCTCAAAGCAGTATGTATTAATAGCTTTATCACTTGGCATGAGAAAAAAATCCTGTTTGTCAAATTTTATAACTTGTTAGCAAGTAAAGAATTTATAAATATTTGTAAATATACTTTTATAGCAATATAGCAAATAAAGTAATTTTGGCAGAGAAATTCTGAAAAATTTTAACAATACATCACTTAAAAATTTATTTGATTTACAGAAATGTCATTCTATTCAGTTGACAAAAATGCAACACTATTTTTACTCTTAAGAATCTTTACTTCAACTGCATATCAGCAACAAACTGACAGTTGGTTTTTTATTTTCAGGGTTTGACAGGAAATCCTGGTGTTCAAGGTCCTGAAGGAAAACTTGGACCTTTGGTAAGTAATTTAAACAGAAGTCCACAACCACTAATATTTTTCAACAGACATGCAACTTAAATGATATTTATTTAGGTTAATGTTTTTGATTATATGGATGCTGGTCATATTGACATATTTGTACCAACTTCTGGAAGCATATTCTTAGGATCTATTTTCAAGTTGACAAAAATGTAGATCAAATTTTTACTAAGATAAATATTTGAGATTGAATTGCTTCCCTGCCTGACATCAGTGAAAATGTTAAAATGATATAGTTTTTAATGTTGGTGAAATTTGTCTATTAGCAATGTTCTCATTTTTATATCCTTCTAATTTTATATGTTTAAGAGATAAGTAGGTATGAATTTTGACAACTTATATATTCTAAGATCTTCCCTTGTTCTGCAATGTGAAATAGAAGTCCTGAATTTTCATTACCACAAACCAGAGTAAATGAAAGAAGAAAGATTTCCCCTATTAATATGACTGTCAGGAGACATCATGAGGAAGCTCATATCTAGAATAAGAATAAAATCTCTCTTCTAGTTACTTAAAATACTTCAGTGTTTTTTAAAAAACCCATTCAACTGTCCTGATTCTTTAACATGAAAATGCAAGATAATTTAAAATTTATGTAACATGATAGTAAGCAAAGGTGACACTTTGGGTGATGCTATGTTTAGAAACAACTTACATGAAACTTACATGGCTCCTGTCAATTCTATAGGGTGCGCCAGGGGAAGATGGCCGTCCAGGTCCTCCAGGCTCCATAGGAATCAGAGGGCAGCCCGGGAGCATGGGCCTTCCAGGCCCCAAAGGTAGCAGTGTGAGTACAGTGTATAATATGTTGGCCACCTCATCATGATCCTCATTTGGAGGAGGTATGTTTTTGACAAATTGAAGGAATTATACAAAAGTTTCATTTATTCTTTAGGGTGACCCTGGGAAACCTGGAGAAGCAGGAAATGCTGGAGTTCCTGGGCAGAGGGTAAATATACATTTTCTGCTAAAGAAAAATAATGTAGGTACTATTTAAATTATCATAGACTCACCTCACAAATATCTGTGTGTGATACTAGGGAGCTCCTGGAAAAGATGGTGAAGTTGGTCCTTCTGGTCCTGTGGGCCCGCCGGTATGTGATTTTTGTGTGTGTGTGTGTGAGAATATATATATACACACATTGCATTTTTTCGATGATGTTTGTTCAAGACTTATGGGTAAGTTTCAGGGAAAGTGAATAAGAATGTATGGGAATGAAGAATTTCTGTTATACCTTCTCTTTTGATTTCTGTGAGATAATGTCTTCTGCCTTTTTAAATATAATGATTGATCTTTTTACTTTAAACTTCTGTAAAACTCTGACTGCAAAGGTTTTTATATGTCACAGTTAAGGACTATATCAACTGAAGAAAACAGTGTGTAACAAATATTTTATAAAATATTTTATTTAAAATATTTAGATACTCAATTATTTACCTTCTCTCAATAATGCATCTTATAAAAATTTATGTAAGGCCGGGCATGGTGGCTCACGCCTGTAATCCCAGCACTTAGGGAGGCCAGGGTAGGTGGATTACCTGAGGTCAGGAGTTCAAGACCAGCCTGGCCAACATGGTGAAACCCTGTCTCTATTAAAAATACAAAAATTAGCCTGGCATGGTGGCATGTGCCTGTAATCCTAGCTATTCAGGAGGCTGAGGTAGGAGAATCACTTGAACCCGGGAGGCGGAGGTTGTAGTGAACCAAAATTACACCGTTGCACTCCAGCCTGGGTGGCAGAGCAAGACTCCATCTCCAAAAAAAAAAAAAAAATTATTTAAGGTATTTTTTAGGACATAAAAGGAATAATACTTATTCTTTGAGGTCTATTTTCATTTTAGGACTTTCAAATGAAGTGTTTATCCGAAATATTTTGGCATATTTTTTTGGGGGGGTGGGGCAGTTTAAATCTTTCTAAAATGTTAGCTTTGCTTTCTTTAGTCATTCTGTTTTTGAAGTCTTGATAAATAATTCTTAAGACATTCAGAAATAAACTATAATAAAAATATTATGTTTTTAGATTACATATACAAAAGTAATGGGTTTTCCTATATTCAATCCAATTTCCCCATAAGTTTACAATTGGCTCCAGACATTTAAGTTTGGATCAAAAAATAAATACATGTTATCAGTTACTGGCTTTAGAAGATATTTTCTCACCTCCAGAGACTTCAAACAATACCATTTGGTTACTATTAATACTAGTTTATTACCTGGCTAAAGAGAAAAACATGTGATTGGAAGAAATACAAATAAATATCAGTACTTCTAGTGGTTCACGTAGAGAGGAAGCAGACAAAGATCTGGTTATATTCACAATTATTTTCTCCTTCACAACTTAGGGTCTAGCTGGTGAAAGAGGAGAACAAGGACCTCCAGGCCCCACAGGTTTTCAGGTATGCACTAATTCGGTTTTCCATTTCATCTTCCATTAACTAAAATGCTTTTTTTTTTTAAAAAAAAAGATATGGTCAGAAGATTTGAAATTCTACAATTTTCAAAAAGTCATCCCTCTTTTAGTAGATAGTATAGACATTTGGATAAAATCGAACATTTTTGTTCAAAGTAAAGGAATGGGCTTCTAAAAAAACTGATCAAACCTGCAAATTATGAACAAAACAAATAAAAAATAACAAAAAAGTAATAAAAAGATATCAGGAATAAAATGTTTCTGATAGCTCAACAAAGTTTATGAAACCATTTTAAGGCTGATTTTGTTTTATCGGCACAGTGACTAGAATTTTTTATTGAACAAAGTTTCATAATTTATCTACATATATCAGTATGTACATTATTTAATAGGAGGAAGATCATAATTTGTAAAAAAAACTTTCTGGACTGACTTTAAATAATATTCTAGCAGTCTAAAATATTGTTCACAGAGCCATAAAAACTCTATAAATATGAAGAAGCTCCTGTTACATTATCTCTTTTTTTGCTAAGTGGTGTGCAGATGAAAATACAATCCTATAAATTGACTAGCTGTTGTGTTTTATTGGTAGTCTTTTTTTAATGCTTCTGAACAATATTTTTTACTTAAAATGTCTGAACAATATATTTTCATTGAAAATATAGTCTTGGAGACCCCATGAATTGTAAAAGGTAAACTGTTAACACTGGTAGCCTGTTAAACTTACACAGATTCACAATTTTATTTTCTTACTTTTGTTTTAGGGGCTTCCTGGTCCTCCAGGGCCTCCTGGAGAAGGTGGAAAACCAGGTGATCAAGTAAGTGTTTAAATAATAATAATGGCAACACTATACATTGCTGGCTCAATTATCACTTTTTATGTGTGAGGCTCTGTTGTGCTTTCCTTTACATACATTATCTCTTTGAGTTCTCAAAGCAGCCCTATGTACTAGGTACTATCATTATCTCCATTTTGTAGATGAGGAAAATGGGGCATACAGATGTTAGATAACTTTCCCAAAGTCACACAGTTAATAGATTTGAACCCAGGTCATCTGCTTCCCAAGATGTGTTCTTAACCACTTTATATAAACAGTTATGGACAAATACTAACAATTTTATTCTGTCGTTTTCCTGGCTCATAGATTTATTTATTTTTCTTTGAATGATTCATTTGTTCATTTAATCATTTAATAAATATTTGCTGAACACTCTGTGTGCTTGCCTCTACAAAGCACTGGCCTGAACCAGCTGAACAAAATGGATTTGGACCTTGCTGTCCTTACAGTATAGTAGGATTCAGAGAGTATAGGACAATTACAATAATAGCATGCTCTAAATGCTATAATAAGGGAGGTACTATGTTTATGGAAACAAAAAAGATGCACCTAAATAAGACTTGGGGGTTTTAGGAAAGGTTTTCCAGACAAAGTAATATCTTTTATGAGATCTGAGAGATGAATGATGATAATGATGAAGGAGGGAAGATAGGAAAAACCTCCAGGAAATGAGACAAGCTTACAAATCAGAGTGGGTAATGTAATTTGGGGAAAATAGAAAGGGGGCTGCAGGGTGACTCAGGGGCCTGATTATGGAGGGCTTTAATTTGATTCTAATTTGTTCTTCATCATTAGAGTAATGGGAAGCTAAGGAAGAGTTTTTAGGCTGGGCACAGTGGCTCACACCTGTAATCCCAGCACTTTGGGAGACTGAGGCAGGTGAATCACTTGGCATCAGGAGTTCGAGACCAGCCTGGCCAACCGTCTGTACTAAAAATACAAAAATTACCTGGGCATGGTGGCACATGCCTGTATTCCCAGCTACTTGGGAGGCTGAGGCAGGAGAATCACTTTAATCCAGGAGGTGGAGGTTGCAGTGAGCCAAGATCATGCCACCATTGTACTCCAGCCTGGGTGATAGAGCGAGACAACGTCTCAAAAAAAAAAAAAAAAAAAAAAAAAACCAGAAAAGAAAAAAGAAGGGTTTTTAAGGAAGGAGTAATATGATAAGATTAGGGAGATCAGGCCACAGTGAGGACAGTCCATTTCGGAGAATAAGATTGGAGGCCTATTTGATAAAGTTATCTTTATCAAAGAAAGAAATTTCAAATTGACAAACTTTCTTTTATGTAAGAACAAACAAACTTTTAATTTAGACATGACTGCACTGGTTTGAATGCACAATACCTAGTAGAGTGCTTTGTCCATATTATAGGCTCAAGAAAGATTTACTTAATTGAGTAGAATTGGATTGGTTCTATTTAAAAGACCAACTCTTTAGCCCTTTTTATATAACTTTTCTTTATTTAAACTTTTTCATCTTCCATTAGTTTAAAAAAAGACATTTAGCATGTATTTTGTTGCCTCTAAAAAACTAATGCTCTATCTTTGTGAAATAGTACTTTGCATGTTCTCATTGCCAAAAATCAAACATTCAGGTATAATACAAAGTTTTTTGGAAAAATGTTTTCATCTAAAACATGTAATATTCCCTCATTTATAAAAATATACGTACTTTTCTTTCTTTAAATTGTTGGCTTATGCAGCCTTCTAATGGCACATTAATAGAAACTAGGTGTATGAACTGGAAAGTTTTCTGATAAATGCCTAAACTCAAAGCTCTTGTTCCATTAAAAAAAAAAAATGTGTTTATAGGGTGTTCCTGGAGATCCCGGAGCAGTTGGCCCGTTAGGACCTAGAGTAAGTATTTTAATCTTCATGATTAATGTTGTTTCCCACTGGCTTCAGTTTTAAAAGGTGTCTTTTAAAATCTTAAACTGGGATTTATTTTAACCTATAAATTCTTTGACTGGATAAAAATTAATTTTATGAGAAATATTTTGTGCTATGAAACTAGCATATCCTTACTTCAAATTTATTTCTTATCACTAAATTAGAAAATTGAGATTTAGTAATGTCTCATTTCTGAATTTTTCCGCAGTAGAAGCCATTTCTCAGAAACATTTTGACCTATTTTTAGATCAAGTATTGAGATTATTTGACATCCCAATTTTGTGCTAGGGAGAACGAGGAAATCCTGGGGAAAGAGGAGAACCTGGGATAACTGGACTCCCTGGTGAGAAGGGAATGGCTGGAGGACATGGTCCTGATGGCCCAAAAGTAAGTGTCATAGTGATCTCAGTGTTTTAAAATGCTTTAAAATTACTGCTTAATAAACGCATGATGGTGTGAGAATGCATTTGTCTTGTTTTTGAAAGATAATTTGATTATATCATTTTCTTCTTCCACAAATATTTAATGAGCGCTTACTAGGCTTTTTCCTTGCAACTAAAGTGTCAGCTAAAAAGAAGACTCTCTTCTTTGATGGGGATTGTAGTTTAGTGCACATGGTGATAGACTTCCATATACAAACACATTTCTAATGTTTATGTACATTTTATTAGTGGCTTCTATGAATAAACAGAGGAAAGAAATAGAAAATTACATAATTTATTAGGAGGCTTTTCTAATAATATGCTCCATTTTCCTTGTCTCAGGTTTCACAATTCTGCTTACTACATATGTGAAAATATGGAACTTTTAAAATCTGAAAATATAATGCATCATAAGGCAGAAATGTGTGCCATTTAGTGATTGGTAGAAAATAATGTGGCCAACTTCAGTATAAACAATTGAAGTAGAATTTTTCATGGTCATGTGACATGAGACCCCTTATTATTTTCAGGGTTTAGAGTGATTGATGCAGTCTACTACAATTTAGACACTATATTAGCCTGAAAACCAGGTTAATATCAAATATCAGTTTCATTAAAGAGAGAATGAAATATTTCTCTAAATGTAATGTCTTTCTTTCTTAATATATTCCATTATGTTGCCAACAGAGGGAAAAAAAGGCAACTCTATCCTTTTTATTTGAAATAGCGTTCAATTGCCTCTTAAGAGAAAAGTTAAAAATATAAAGCAGCAATCAAAAACAAAATCTGGTTTTTTTAATTTCAAAATATCAACTCACTCAGAGACAACTTTCTCAGATGAAAAATATAAGCACTAAGTTGAACTACATGAAATTGCTGACAACTACTTTTGACCCACTAAAAAGCAATTTCATTAGTTTAATCTTAATATTATTGGTATGGTCACTTAATGTTGGTTCATTTTAGGGCAGTCCAGGTCCATCTGGGACCCCTGGAGATACAGGCCCACCAGGTCTTCAAGGTATGCCGGGAGAAAGAGGAATTGCAGGAACTCCTGGCCCCAAGGGTGACAGAGTAAGTCCTTTTTTTTTTTTTTTTTTTTTCAGTTCATTTATTCAGACTTTCTGCTGAAAATGAAATGATTTCTTGAGCAGGCTTTTATTTCTACCATCCTGAGTCACTAGTCATTCATTTTTCATTCTTCTAATAAACATTTACTGAGAAAATGCACAGTGTGAGGCACCATCCCAGGCTCACCTGGATACGACTAGGAAAATGACAATTAGCCTTCACTCTCATGAAACTTACACACAAGTGTGGGAAAGAGACAATTAAATGAATCAATTGTATTTTGTGTGTTTTCCCAGGGTGGCATAGGAGAAAAAGGTGCTGAAGGCACAGCTGGAAATGATGGTGCAAGAGTAAGTGAAAGTATTCCTTTTCTAGCTGGGCTAGGAACCAACATTACAGTATCATATGAGTTTCCCTGAACCTTCCAAAATAAAGTCAGTCATGTTTCCTTGGTAGTCAGGAGTTGGAGAATAATGGCATGTGAGATCTGCTGTGATTCAACCACGGTTTATTCATTTTGCTTACCCTGAATTAAATGAAACTTAAATAAAAACATATTTATTGTGCCTATGAGATAAGTGCCTTAAGGGGATGGGGGCCCTCTTTATCTTTCTCTATCATCTTTTTATTTCATACACAAGGTTTATTTCTGTTAAAATGCTAATCTAGTGAGCTGGCCAATACTTCATTCCAGCATAGACAAGTAGAGCTTTGTGGAGTCACCAAAGTTGTGATAAATGTTTCTCAGTATATTGGATGTTGGGGTGAGAAATTTACTGCACAGTGAATCGTCATTAATGTTATCATTAATAAACAGTTTGAACAAGCAGAATGTCCAGAAGGATGGTCAACTGCAAAGCATTGTTTAATGTCATGTCAGAAATTGACATTTAACAAGCGTTAGGTCTTTGAAATTAGAATGCATTTACAATTCCAAGGACAATCAGACTCGAAGGACAATATATTTTCAGACATAAATGATTTCCTCATGTAAGAGTGGCTAGTCACAATGGCTTAAACATCCATCATTTTCTGGAATAGTACCTGATATTTGACTAATGATTTCTGTTTCAGTATGACATGGTTTGCTGTTAGTTGTCATGTGTGCCCTGGCAATTACAGTTGTAACATAATAAAAGAGAACTGCTATTTGGTTCTGCACATTGAGTCATTGTTAATACATTGGTTATAATAGCTTTAGATTAAGGAAATATAGTGAAATGTAGTAGAAAATTTTCATCTTAAGGGTAATTAGTCCTTTTTATGCAAATTTAATTAAGGATGCACCACTTCTTTTAACAAATTATGCACAAAAGATACACCTTGCCTTTTAGTTAAATCTAATATTTAATTTAATATTTCAAAAATAGTCAAGTAAATCTGGCATATTTTTAATATTTTACATCATGGATGTCCTGGAATGCATAAGTAGTGCAGTACTATTTATAGGAACGATGCATTGGCAGTTTGTTTTAAGGGAAAATCTAAAATACATATCAATTGTGCCTATGAACTAACTTTGAAATTGCAATGTGATAGGACCAGGATGTAAGCAATGACTGCTTTATTTTTAATGAGGACACTACATTGTTGCAGGAAAGAAGCAGAGCAAAGCACTTACTGCAATCTCATAGTAGGGAAAAAATGAATAACATGTTTTCTCTGTATAAAAAATCTATAAACATAAGTAATGAAGTGATATTTATATTTCATCAAATCCTTTAAAGAAGTATATTACATAAATTATTGGAATGATATCATTCCATTGTAGATCCAGAGACTATAAGAACACAGATTTCTTATGTTCTTGTCAAATCTATAAAATTAAAGTCATTTTTGTTCCTTAAGTTTCTTTAGTTGTACATACAGAAATTAAACGATGAAAGAATATTTGGGCTGCATATGAAGAGGCAAGACACAGTTATAAGATAGAGAACTTGTTTTAAAGAGGACTTCAATATTCCCACAGTTTCAAGTTTGTGATTACCTGTCAAGAAGACTCAGGTTGTGTCCCCATGTGTTAGCTGTACTGTCCTCTAAGTGTTAGCTCTCCTATGCCCATAAATCTCAAAGTAGCTGGGGTTTTAGGCTGTAAACTTTAGCTACTTTTCCTTTTCATCTCAAAAGAATGAAGAAAACTGGCTGGGCGCGATGGCTCACGCCTGTAATCCCAGCACTTTGGGAGGCTGAGGTGGGCGGATCATGAGGGCAGGAGATCAAGACCACCCTGGCTATGGTGAAACCCCGTCTCTACTAAAAATACAAAAAATTAGCCGGGTGTGGTGGTGACAGACGCTTGCAATCCCAGCTACTTGGGAGGCTGAGGTAGGAGAATGGCGCAAACCCGGGAGGCGGAGCTTGCAGTGAGCCGAGATGGTGCCACTGCACTCCAGCCTAGGCGACAGAGCGAGACTCCGTCTCAAAAAAAAAAAAAATGAAGAAAACTAAGTCAGGCATAGTGGCTTGTGCCTGTAGTCTCAGTTACTCTGGAGTCTGAGATGGGAGGATCACGTGATCCAGGGCAAGCGTTCAAAGATGCATGTGCTGTGATCACATCTGTGAATGGCTACTGCACTCCATTCTGGGCAATGTAGAGTGGAGACCCTGTGCCAAAAAAAAAAAAAAAAAAAAAGGAAAAAACACCTAAAATGCCTTAACACAATTTCAATTTTTAAAAGTAAAAAAGTGATATTTTGCTATTATAATTTAAGAATATAATATTATATGCAAAAGAAGGAAAGCCTCTTTTCAATTTGTGGTCAAATGTCCGAATAAATATTAGCAAAGCTAATTATGCTAAGAAATAGAAACATTTTTGTAGCTTAGCATTAATGTAGTGCTAATGCCTGAAAACAGTTTTATGTATGCATGAATTAGGTTGCATGAAAGAGATTAAAACACTGTGTGGAGAAAATATGGTGGAAATGGTATTAAACTAGACAGAAAACTCTTGAAAATATATAGATTATATCATTTATTATAGATAATGATTTGCAAAGGCAGCCAAATTATAACAAAATAGTCGTTTCTTTTTTGTTTGTTGATTTGCTAAGCATGAAGATTTCTGTGCATTTTTTACCTCAATATGCCTATGTTCTGTTAATTGACAGGGTCTTCCAGGTCCTTTGGGCCCTCCAGGTCCGGCAGGTCCTACTGGAGAAAAGGTAAGTCACAAGTTGTTAATTTGTACACTCAAAATTATGAGTCCTGAATAGCAGGCTCTTTCATAAATCTTTTCATTTTATAACATATGGTATCTGAGCAAGATCATTTCAGAGTTCTTTTCCACTATCTCCTCCTACACAGTGACCAATGTCCTAAAATTATGTTTAGCTACTGTTTTGGACAGTAACCATCTAAAATCTGCTTTCTAGGGTGAACCTGGTCCTCGAGGTTTAGTTGGCCCTCCTGGCTCCCGGGGCAATCCTGTAAGTGACAGTATTTTGGTGTTCTTTAGTGTGAGATTGAGCAATAAAACAATTAATCATTTTGTTTTTATATTTATATAAAACAATGCTTATTGGTTTTAGGTTATGTATAACTTCCTGGTTTTTAGCTTTTGCTTTTCTAATTAAACTTAAAAATTATCTGCTATACAATCTATTAAGTGTAGTTAGGCAGCTTGTTTACTAACTAATTTGGAGGCTCCTTTGAGACTTCTGACCTTGGGAATTTTGTTCTATGACCTATATCTTTATATAATCCTTAAGGACCTTCCTTAAGCAATATGTGTAATTTTTCTATATTTACATGTCTAACTATCAGATTTATATGATCATATTTTAAAATACTGTTCCTGTTTAGGATAATGTGTGAAAGCTACAGTAATCTTTGTCTCCTCCTAGGGTTCTCGAGGTGAAAATGGGCCAACTGGAGCTGTTGGTTTTGCCGGACCCCAGGTATAATTTTCAAATATCCCTAATTTACAAATAAACACTTATCTTGTTATAATAAGTTTAATGATCATTGTCATATGTTTTGAAGTCGTATTCTGGAAAATTTACAGTTTTCTAGACAATATTCTCATTTTCAATACATTTTTTTATAGACTGGCACAAAACTTGTTTGTGCTAGTTGAGCTTCTATAATTATTTGTTAAAATAAAAATGCAGTGGGATAGCTTATTTTTTAGGCTGTTTTGAAAGATCTCATCAGAGTACTTTTTTTCCTTTAGTATGCTTTAATACTGATTATAAAGCACTGTTTCACAATATATGATTAATTGATACATTAGTAATAATTACTCTAAAGTAATTTGTCTATAAGTCTTATAATCAATTGCTTGTTTGTATAATTTTTTATAGGGTCCTGACGGACAGCCTGGAGTAAAAGGTGAACCTGGAGAGCCAGGACAGAAGGGAGATGCTGGTTCTCCTGGACCACAAGGTTTAGCAGGATCCCCTGGCCCTCATGTAAGTTAACAAGAAAAAGGCATAACTTGAGTCAAGTGCCCCATGTTTGGAGTGTACATTCAGCCTCTTTTGCTTCACTATAGTGCTCTTTTGTTTGTTTCTATTCAGGGTCCTAATGGTGTTCCTGGACTAAAAGGTGGTCGAGGAACCCAAGGTCCGCCTGTAAGTTTATTTGATGCTCTGCAAAGTATGCACAGCTAATTCTAGTTACCTAGTGCTTCCTGGTCATGTAAAAGATAATTTTCATCTGAGACTGAAATAACAAATTATTACCTGTATCAACTGTACTATAGTGCAAAGGGCACTTAACTCAGATGGAGATTTGGGTTAAAATCAAGTTTGTAATCTTGGAGACCCAGGTGCCTCACCTGTAATGTAAGTAACATACTACCTATATAAAAGAGTAAATAAACAATGTGAAAGCACTTTATTTAATTTGATTGTATAAAATATCAATGTGATTCTAGTACTACCTGCATGGAAAAAGGAAAATAGTGCCCTTCCTACCAGTTAATCTAGATTAATTCCCCAAAATATGGGATTCGTACGAAGAAAAAAAAATATTGCTTACAACATGAAAGGAAATCTAAAGGCTTCAGTCTTCCTGTGAAAAAAAATCCCAGGAAAATACATGTAACTAATTTATATTACCTTAAAAATTGCTTATATGATATTCTGGTTCTAGGGTGCTACAGGATTTCCTGGTTCTGCGGGCAGAGTTGGACCTCCAGGCCCTGCTGTAAGTCAACTTAGTGAGACAAGTCACTGATAATGAAATAATTACACACACACGTATACATTTGAGTTAAATTTATTATTTTATTTAATTTCTTAATGGTATGTTTTCTTATTTAACAACTCTTATTCCAATAATGCATGCTGGTATTTCAGCAAAGCAAATCATCCTTAATAATCTAGTATTTCTTGGAGGAGCTAATTTGCAAGTTCTTTTTAGCCCCAATGTTTTATTATTATTCCGTTTAAATACTGAATACTTACAGTATTATGTGCTAATAATCATTCTCTTCAGTTAAGATGCAACTATGAAACTTTCTTTAATAAATGTCATTCATTATAAGATCAAATCATAAGAATAAATAATTATCTCAGAATAAAGTATTATATATTCATCATTGGAGTGGAGCTTTAAATAAGTTTGAAAATTCAAGTTAGTTGCACCACTCTTTAAAAATTATTCAAAGGGAATTGACTGCAAATGATATTTAGTTTTCCCCCTGGGGAATGAATCTACAGCTGTGTTTTCTTTTGTTTTGTTTTGTTTAAATCCTATAGAATGACTGATTATCTAACAGGTAAAATGAACCTGCGAGGCTTGGACATCTGCATCTGAGGCAGACAGCGTTATGTCAATCACTCTTACTTGCCTTCCATTTTGCCCTCCTTGGTGTTTCTTTCTTTGTTATACTAGGGAGCTCCAGGACCTGCGGGACCCCTAGGGGAACCCGGGAAGGAGGGACCTCCAGGTCTTCGTGGGGACCCTGGCTCTCATGGGCGTGTGGGAGATCGAGGACCAGCTGGCCCCCCTGGTGGCCCAGGAGACAAAGGGGACCCAGGAGAAGATGGGCAACCTGTAAGTTTGGCGTATCCGTTCCAGACCACCTTCAACTGAGATATTTACAAATAGAAACCCATAATGATCAGTGTCACAAAAATGCTTAAATATTATGCTGGGCACATTCCTAAAATTTTTAAAGTGCATTAAATCTATAAGGCTTTAGGAAAAACGTGTATATATATAGATTTTAAAAATAGCAGTAATAGATATGGTATCTAAAAACTAAACCCAAAAAAATTATTTGTTAAATGTTCATTGTGTATGAATAACTTTAAAAATATATGTATATTATATTTTATATGCAAATGCCTTTAAATATTGTGTTTAGATAACTCTTTTTTCCTTATTGTTAAACTTTCTTTTTGTCTTTTTATAAAGAAGAAAAAATATTTCTCTGAAGTTACCTCTTTTATTGAGTCAGTATTCACATTAATCTTCAGTTTCTTTCCAACGGATGAGCTGTTTTCACCTTTAAATAATGTTAGAGGTTCTGTGCGGATTACAATTTATGACTACTCATATGCAGTATGATTTTGAGAAACAGAGAACTTCTTTTTCATACTGAAAAACCTGTAAAGCTGTACCCAACTTATTGTAAATTCCTTGGGTACAGTTTTACCCTGGATAGTTTCTGATTTTAGTTTGTCCTCAACATTAGGGTCCAGATGGCCCCCCTGGTCCAGCTGGAACGACCGGGCAGAGAGGAATTGTTGGCATGCCTGGGCAACGTGGAGAGAGAGGCATGCCCGGCCTACCAGGCCCAGCGGTGAGTAGCTGCATCGGTCAATATTTTATCTCATATGTGCAATACAAATTGTTTAGAGAATTGATTTTATTTTTTTTGCTTGATGAATAGATTTAAACAGTATTGTAGGGACATTAATTTTTGAGTCTCTTAAAAATCTTTTGATCTTAAATGTCAAATTCTTAACTACCTTACAAAGTCTTTGAAAATATATATTTGTTTAACCCTGAGACTAGAAAAGTAGGCAAATAAGGATATGGATTTTTGGTGACCTTTAAATCCTTCTTCAAAGATTAAAAAGATCCCGGAGCTAGAGGAGGGGGATAATCTTCTGGTGAATAGGTAGTGTCTTTTTAAGTAAACATGCTTAACAAAAATACCATATTTTACAGTAAACCATCAAAGGGAAGACATAGTTGAGCTAAAGTAATATTTGAGGTGAATGTAGGGGGAATGCTGAAGAAGGATCTGAAGGTAATCTCCTGTTCCCTGGAGGGTGCTTTAGGATTTTATATTCCCTGGAGTATGGATAAAAGTTTGATTCAAAGTTAGCTTTGAAGAGACTAAATTTTATTGCTAAAAGATTACAGTGCTTGAAAAAAATTAATGATGTTTTCATATGGAATGTAGACAGAGAGATGTATGGGATCTTAGAACTGGGAGACATGTGGGTTGAAATATGAAACCAACAAAGTAGGAGCTAAGGGATGTCTTATTGTTATCAGAAGTGAGCCAAGAATGTGAAAGTAAAATCTCTCAAGAGTGAGATCAAAGTATCAGAATATAGAAATAAAATGAACAGACAAAGCAGAGCGGGGAAAAAGGATGAAAGTGATGCAAATTCCAGAAGGGCAGCTAGAATCACCTATGGTACACATGATTAGAACCCAAAATGCACACCTGTGCTGGTGGCAACAGATGGTTGGTTTTTGGTCCCTTAGATACGTCAAGAGGAGTCTGATAGGAGGTGGGCAGGCCTCTAAGAAAGCATTATGATTACATGAGTGTTGTAAGATAATGCAAAATTATTATTATAGAAGGAGCCCAGAGGCACCATTTTGAAAACTTAGCCTTTATGGGAACTAGCGTTCTTCAATTTCTTCACAAGTGTTTGACATTTATACTTCTATTTCAGGGAACACCAGGAAAAGTAGGACCAACTGGTGCAACAGGAGATAAAGGTCCACCTGGACCTGTGGGGCCCCCAGGCTCCAATGGTCCTGTAGGGGAACCTGGACCAGAAGTGAGTACTACAGTGAAAATAACTCTTCTCTTGTTATCTGGTGTCATGGAAACAATTTTTTTCATTTAGCAATTGATTTAGAATTTTATTGCATATTTGACCTTAAGAAAGTTTCTTAGTAATGTTATTTGATGTACTCTACTTCCCTAGAGAGTTGGCTAAGTGATGACATAAAGAAAAGGTAATAGGATCGGTGTCTTTGCACTGACCTTCATCTAGTCTGGAGCTAAGTATTTTAGTTCATTTAAGCTGTTGCCAAACTGTTTTGAGGGTGAAAGGACACATCCATTCATCTTTCCCTTGTTATTATTTCATTTTGTAATGACATATTTATCAAAATTGCCAAGTTTTTTGGTGATAGGATTAATATAGCTATTCCAGCTTGTGAAAAGGGCAAAGTTAGTAGAGATCATTTTACTTAAATATCACTATAAAGTAACATAATGGATATCATGTTCCTTTAGGCACTTTTGGGAGGAAATCAGTTTTTGATAGGCAATTTGAGAAGTTAAAGGCTGGAATATCCTCTGTTCAGGATTTTAAGGAGTGAATCATCAAACAGTTAATGTAACATTTTATTGAAAGAAAGAATCAATAGCCTTTGGAACAATTTTTGATCAAATAGCAAAGACATATTTATGAAAAAAATCACAATAAAATAGAAAAGGAAGACTATTTCTTAAAGTAGTTTAATATTGAAACAGTTATTTTATTTCAAAACTTTAAGGATATTTGAATAATCTTAAGAAGTAAATGTAAGAAAAGCCTTTCATTGTTAATACAAGCAAAACATAAAGTGGCAAGAATGTAATTGTTATCTATTTCAAAATATTTGTGGGTTTTTTGTTTTTCAAAATAAGAAATATAAATGAAGAATATGGATTAAGTAAGAATATGTTAATTTTACAGTAATTCAAAATAATGAAAAAGAGGTAGAAACCGTTCTTCTGCTGACATTTGCATAAATGCTAACTGACAGTTTATAAAACACAGGTGTAAAACATGCTGTCATTTTTTGACAATTGGAATGAGGATTTTTTTCATTACTCAGTTAAGTAGTTTTTCAAACCATTATTCTTTATAGGGTCCAGCTGGCAATGATGGTACCCCAGGACGGGATGGTGCTGTTGGAGAACGTGTAAGAGCCATTTCACTTATTATAAAATCTAAAGTCATGCAAATCTGAAATCTTTTTAATTTACACTAAAAACTGTCATTTTTCCTGATAGTTCCAATACACTTCTGATTTTTCTGAATAACAACTGTTTCTGTAAAGCCATAATTTTTATATCTTGTAAATGAAATGATATTTGAATATGCAACAAATTAAGATGGTATTTTTTCAGAGCAGGAAGATAAAATTGAAGCCATCTTTGGTTTAACATAAAGGCTTTGGATGAGGATATATATGAAGTGTTCTAAATTTTAAACTCATTAACAAAAGCATGAAAGCCAAAATAGTGCTGTGTAATGTCTAAATTTTTCCATTCACCATCTAAAGTGAATGCCGTATGAGAATATAAGCCATGTGGCTTTTTAAACACTGTATATTCCATGATGTGTTTTAAATTAGAATGTGCTGAACTGAACATGTCCCCAACTTTCTCTGAAGCCCCAGTCCCTTCTGGCAGTTGCACAGTCATCTCATGCTGCTGAGATGGGCCACTGAAGGCAAAATCACTCCCCACTCCAAAGTCTGTTATGATGTAATTAAAGCTCATCATGTAGCAGAATGGGCTTTGGAGCCAGTCAGACTTGATTTGGAATATTGTTTCCCTAAGTAATTAGCTGTGTAATCTTAAGCAGATTTTCTGAACCTCCATTTTCAAATGCTTTAAATATAATTAATACATATGCCATTGGGCATTTGTATATTAAATGACATGTTTAAACACTCCACTACAGGATAGACACTCAACCTCATATTGAAAAAAAAGGGGAAGAAAGGATTTGGAGGAAGCTTGGGCTAAGTCCCGCTCATCTACTATAATCCACAGACTGCAAATTCTCTTGGCAACTTGGGCTTTTTCCTTTGTCAATATATACTATATAGTGCAACCATCTTCAAAGGTTTTGCTGAAGTAATTATGAAAATCGGTAAATCTCTCTACTTATTTTAAGTTGCCATCGCCCTTTTAAAATCACAAGTTTAAATAGTTGCAAAGGAGGTGATTCCTGGTAAATTCTAAATGTACAAGTGCTTTAAGTATTTTTTTTTTTTTTTTTGAGACAGAGTCTTGCTCTGTTGCCAGGCTGGAGTGCAGTGACACGATCTCGTCTCGCTGCAACCTCTACCTCCTGGGTTCAAGTGATTCTCCTGCCTCAGCCTCCCCAGTAGCTGGGACTGCAGGCATGTGCCACCACACCCAGCTAATTTTTGTATTTTTAATAGAGACTGGGTTTCACCACGTTGGCCAGGATGGTCTCGATCTCTTGACCTCATGATCCGGCCGCCTTGGCCTCCCAAAGTGCTGGGATTACAGCCCACTTTGTGAGCCACTGTGCCCGGGCAAGTATTTTTTTTTTTTTTTCAAAACCTTGAAGTTGCCAATTCAGCTTATTCAATGTATTATGTGTCTGTTCTATAACCTAATTGCCAAAGTTTATCTAGGTTGATAAATTTATCAGTCAAATAAGACAATTTTTTGTCAGAAAATACAGTCTGACTCAATTTTTCAAGTCAAATATTTATGTTTAGACATGTTCATATAACGCTTATCTCACCTCTGACTTCTTAAGGAGACAAGTAATATTTGGAGCCTTGTCATAATTGTGTCATCTGGATAAAATAAAAAGGAGCCTCTTTATTTTCCAAATCCTTCGTAGCTTTATACTCAAGTAAACTATGCATTCTGGAAAAGTCCCTTAGTTCAGTGCCTAGAGGTATTTATTCCTTGGGACATTGCATCATAATAAGATTGCAGATGGTATGATTTCTGCTTTTCTTTTACAAAATGAGAGAAGGTGGATTATTTAGGGGAAGTAAGGAAGGATAATCAAAATATAGTTTTCTGAAAGAATACATAAGGAGAGGAAAATCTAGAAGGTGGTTTCCTTAAAATTTTCTTTGTTTTCACAGTCTTTGGAAAGTCTTTGTGTATTCCAAGTATACCAATATTCCAGCTTAAAGATTGGTGCTCTAGAAAACATGTTAAATTCTGGAGGTGATCACTCCTATACTCCAATGATCTTGACGTGCGAGCAATAGGGAGTAGGTGAGGGAAAGGATGAGACTTGAAATTAGGAAGAAATAACTTTATTCTTTTCAATTTGATTTATTAATTAATAAATATAAGTAAAATAGTTAAAATAATAAGTAAAAATAAGTTTTAAAGGGTATTTTTTCCCATTATTAATACTATAAGAATAACATGAACATATGGAATATTGTTGTTTTAGAATAAATGTTAAAAAATAATATCATGGTTATTCTTGTTAGGGTGATCGTGGAGACCCTGGGCCTGCAGGTCTGCCAGGCTCTCAGGGTGCCCCTGGAACTCCTGGCCCTGTGGGTGCTCCAGGAGATGCAGGACAAAGAGGAGATCCGGTAAGGAGGGAGTCAATTTCACACTGACAGTTTTGCACACCCATATGCTATGTTATAAGCTGCATATAGGCACACACACATAGTCATACATGTGCACTTCGTTAAGGACTCTAAATAATGAATGGTAAACAGCTAATTATGAACTACTATATGTTTCTTAGTCTGAAAGGCAAAATTTCATTTCTAAGAGGGAATAGAAGATACTGATGCTTTGACTTCCATCATCTGAAAATGCTGTAGTTTGAAAATGTAATAAGTATGCATCATGTTAAATGTCAATGAATAATGTCTTACTGTATTCAACTAAGGTGATACTTATTCAATGAAGTCAATGAATAAAATTGACCGTAAAAGTGTCATTGAAGTTATAGTGACCACAGTCTTATCTACACATGGACATTTGCCTGATTTCAATTAATTAATCATAAGAGTATGCACACACACACACACACACACACATATATATATATGCATCCAACTATAAACGTATTGTTGACATCCTGTATCTATGTAATATGTGAATATCTTTTTTACATGCCAATTTTTTTTGTTGTAAATTTCTTTTAGGGTTCTCGGGGTCCTATAGGACCACCTGGTCGAGCTGGGAAACGTGGATTACCTGTAAGTTCTCTTTTTTTGTTTTTTAAAAAATGTTTTCTTATATAAAATATACTCCCAAAGAAGTATAATTTAAGATTCATAACTGAAAAATATGAAATTCCTCAAGCTTGAACAAAAATATTAATTAAAAATTATAAGTTTACTCTTATTTTTTAAAGTAATACGAGTTTATTTTTATAATTTTAACACAATTCTTCTGAATTTAACCATGAATTATATCAATAATCATGGAGGTTTTTAAAGTCACAGGTTTCTCCTAAAATAATAGGAATTATAGTGCATTTCTCTCTGAGCTATTCTAAAAACTACATAGGAAAATGGATTTGAAAGCTCTCTGTAAACTTGAAAAGCACTATTCAAATATTATGTTTCATTTTCAACTAGATTTTTCTTTCTATGTTCTGATCTTTGTGCTATTTGCAATCAGTGACTTTCAGGTTAACATTATTATATAGATGTCTTACCATGAATGAATCATCTCATGTGTAATCTAATAGGTCATATGCTTTTCATGCCCATCAGGTAAATCAATGTCTGTTCTCAAAAAGAACAATTATACTTTGAAAATCATGGCCATATTATTAAATAATTCTCCTCTTTAATTTGAGCTTGACTGGCAAATATTTTATAGTTGCATAGCATGTCAAGTGAACAGTGTTTTGAGCAGTTATAGAAACATTGTAATTTTGTTTTCTATGAATAAATACATTGTAGTTAATAATTCAAATAGGTGCCTTCTGATTTAGTTTAGTTTTAATTATGAAACTTTGGGTCATCCCCCAAATAAAAGAACCTTTCGAACATTATGAAAAACTTCAGGCTGATTTTGATAGTATTTAAATTTATATTGTTATATAAAATATGCAAAAGCTACTGAAATCATCTTCTTTTTATTATAAATGGGTTCCTATACTGTATGATAATTAGGAAATATAAATTCAAAATCAAAACAATAAGGGAAAAATTAACCTGAGAGCCAATTGATTTGATGACTGCAGTCATCTTCCAAAGTCAGATAAATAGGGATTCAGTTATCTTTTGGGAAAACACTAAAAGCAACAGAATCCGGTTCTATAGTAGATGACTCTATGCCACTTGTCAGTTTACTGTGAACCACTCGTTCCCTGGAGCTGTTTTTAATTTCCCAGGACTTAAAACAAAACAAAACCAACACCACCACCAACAATAACAAAACATCTGAGATTGATCAGATAATTTTCACCTCTTCTCTGGGTATAGCTTCTATCTCAAAATAAGATCCCTAACTACGGCTTTCTTTGTAGCCGTAGATCAAGCTTAGCATCAAGATCACTGGATTTGGTTACAGATATTGCAGATATGGGATAACTTAGAGTTGCTTTGTTCTTTAGAGGAAAGTGGCTTAAAGATGATATTTCTGTTTAATTTGTTCAAGCAAGTTTTTGCCAATTTCTTAATATAGTTGCAGCTGTCATAGCCAGCTAGTTTATTTGCATATGTAAATTTAAAATCATTTCATTGTTACACACGGCAAGTATGAAATGTTTTAATTTAAAAGAATCTATATATGGTAGCAATATTTTTATATAATAATATCAACTAAATATGTGAAGCATAATCTTTAAAAAACATTTCAGATAGGCTAGATCAAACAAAAATATCTAATTTTAGTATGAATGTAAGATAAACATTTAAAAAATAAATCTTCAGAAAAGTATTCTTATTATATCTTTTTTCAGTGATCACCTACCATTCTTTGGGAAAAATAAACAGAAATTTCTAGGTCTAATACTATTTTTAGATAAGTAAATATATTAATCCATATAAAATACCAAGTTCAAAATTGTAGTAAATACAATTATAAAAAGTAAAATTTTAGTAAATTTTAGTCTCAACAATAATATGTAGCAAGTAATTTTCATGCCATATCTCTATTTCTAGGGACCCCAAGGACCTCGTGGTGACAAAGGTGATCATGGAGACCGAGGTGACAGAGGTCAGAAGGGCCACAGAGGCTTTACTGGTCTTCAGGGTCTTCCTGGCCCTCCTGTAAGTTATTCCTTTAAGTATTATTCTGCCCTGTAGTTGAAAATACACGGGTATCTTGACACGAACATTTATCTGTCTGTAAAATAGGTGGATATGTTTGTATCTTATTTTCAGTTCAAAGAATATCTTGATGAATAACAAGTGATAATTGCCAATAATAAGCTATAATTTTGTAGGGAAGAAATAAAGCAAAAGCTATATGCACTGTTACTCCTACAGGTGTCTTTAACATTGGTCAACTCATGTAGACATTGCAGAGATTGGTGACTTTATCAAAGTAGTTCATGCTGCTAAAGTCAATGATAGCACATTTTTGAGAATGGCACAATGCAGGATCCAAATATTTTGGCAACATTTTTTATTGTATTCCTACTTAGGGTCCAAATGGTGAACAAGGAAGTGCTGGAATCCCTGGACCATTTGGCCCAAGAGTAAGTAACAAAAAGTAGTAAGTTGCAGGTGTAAATAATAATGCCTTTGTTGATGTACTGCTAATGCTTGAGTATCGTTTTCCTGGTATTGAAGCTGGAGTTGGCTCATCTTCTCTGAGGTTGGCAACACACATATGAGACAAGCTATTTAGCAATTAATTTTAAGTAGAAATATCTTGAAATATGATATATTACCTCATGGGCCCGCAATAAAATTTATTACCTAGGGTTTGGATATATTCCTCTGTTAGTTCATTTTGTTACATTGTGTTAATTTAAATTTCTATTCAACTTTCACTTTTTGAGATGATGTAATAGCATTTACTATGAAGTGGAGACAGATTTTGAAGCTAAATATATTTTGTCTTTTAAGTAATAGTGATAGTTCCTCAGAAGTAGTTTACATAAAGCTAATTTGGAAGTAAATAATAAAATGAAGCCAATATTTGAAGCTTTTAGAAATTCTCCATTAGTATTAATGTTGCTTGTAATAAGTCATTGATGGCATAAGACAATTGGTGGACATAATTATTTAGGAAAATAGAAAATATTTTGTAGAAAAAATTAGAAAAAATAATTTAAAGAATCTTGGTATATCTGAATACAGTGTAAACAAAGCATACATAAAATTCAGAATAATAGTACATGATGGCATTCTGAGGCATAAGCACAGAAATTTCACTTAAACACTCCAACTTCTGTCATTTTCTTATTTCAAGTTAATTGAATTTCTAAGTTTACAATATGTGAGGTTTAATGAAAGTTACTACCAATAAAAGTAGGTGATTAGTCCATTAAAGATGTAAACTCATATTTGTCTTTTACCATGCATGGATGATGGAAAATTCTTATGTGATGAAATCATAAATGTTACAAAGTACCAGAAGTTCATTTATTAATCAGTAAGAAAATGAATCTTAGAAATCACTGTTACAGCTCCATATGTAAAATAGTTCTTTGATTAGAGAAAGGCATTGTAAAATTTTTCCTTCATAGAATCTAAACTACAGTCTTTGTTTCTTGCAGGGTCCTCCAGGCCCAGTTGGTCCTTCAGGTAAAGAAGGAAACCCTGGGCCACTTGGGCCAATTGGACCTCCAGGTGTACGAGGCAGTGTAGGAGAAGCAGGACCTGAGGTAAAGTCACAAAGGTTTACATGCAAGAAATGCTATTTATTCAATAGCTCAGATTCCGTCCAAGAAATGTCTGTGCAGCCCGATTGACAAGAGACTTAAGGGACCCCGAAAACAAACGTAGAAGTCACACAAGAGTATAAGTAACTATTTCAAGTATTTTAATACAGATAAGTTAGAGCACATAAAATCAGAGTCCAACCTACCCAGACATTAACATAATGTGATACTAACAAGAGCAAAGAACAAGTTATAATTGTATTTATAATTAAAGTTATGAAAATGTTGATTTGCTCTCAAGGGCAATATTTTAAATGTCTGTGAGGTATAGTTATTACTTCATGAAAACTCCATAGAAATGCTGGACAATGAAGAGTATGAAATTGAAGTTTTTCTCCATTGAAAACATTCAGGGAGGACTTTGATTAAAACTTTTTGTAAAAAGTTTCAGTAGTGTTGACTTGAGGATGATACAAAGCTGTATACTATGTTAGTTAGATCCTTGCTTCTCAGGTCTGGGAAACATCTTCATACATCTTCCATGCACAGGTGTACTCATGTGCGTGTTTGTATATGAGCTTATGCTTCTCTCTCTGGTGTTTCTTCCTCATTGGTCTTTACCTTCTCTTCCTTACTTTTCCTTTGCCCTTCATAGCAATACTGTTAAGCCAGATATTTACTTCTTATGTGGATCAAATAGTCTTATATTTCCTATGGACAAGAGATATGTTTTCTACTCATTTATTTCTCTAATTGTGAATAGGAAACAGCTAGAAAATTGGAATACCTTCAGCTTATGTGGCTGTTGATTGACTTTGTGATTCAGTGGGCCTTGATATATTAGAAAAAAGTCTTTTCTTTTCTCTTAAAATTAGTATAAAGGAACGCATGAACTCAGTATATGACCTTAGAGACAGGAAGAAAAAAAAATTATGTAACAGCCCTTTGAGAGTGAGGAAACATTGGCACTGAAGGTAAAAGCAACTTGTCTGGAGCCATATAACAAGTGGCAGAGCCAATAGTAGAACTCCAGCCTTCTGGAGAGTTCTTGCTCCCAGATCTTGCTCTCTACATGAGATGTGGACTATGTGTCTCTTCAGGTTGTCACCTGGTTCTTTCAAGTTGCTGAGTTCTTCCTTGGGGAAGTGCAGAAGGGAATTAATAGAGAGGATCCATTTCGTAGTCTCTGCCACTTTTTGTGCTTATCTCCCTCTCATTTCAGTGTGTCTTATTTGGCAAAAAAAAAAAAAAAAGGCAGGAGGGCTCTTTATTTATGTCAATTCAAAGGCTAAGGCTAGGAATACTGGGCACCTTGGCACACACCTGTAATTCTAGCTATTCAGGAGGTGAAGGTGGGAGGATTGCTTGAGCCCAGCAGTTTGAATCCAACTTGGGCAACATAGTAGCAAGACCCTGTCTCTAAAAACCAATACTATTTCTTCAGTTTTTCTTAGGACAGAGAATTTTTATCTGTACAGGAATTAATGCACATAAAAGGACTTCCTGTGTTTCTCTCCCTCTCTTTTAGAAGTAGGAGTATAATTCTCTTGTGGGTGTTTCCTGTGGGTATTTTCTTGTTATTGACATGTAATCTTATAGAACCAGCAGCCACTATTCCCCTGCATGCTTTGTTCAGCTTCATCCAAAAATAATTTTAAAACATTTTGGTTGTACCTTGACGAAAATAGTTTGCAAATGAACATACATATCTGCATGCTATTAACATAAAATATGTTGTATCTTCAAGGTAAACACCTGAGCAAATATTTTGTGCTTTGATCTTTATTTATCTTGGATGCTGACTTGAAGATATGTTTCCTGAAAAATGATTGAGCATCATTTCTCATCCTTGAATGTTACAGCCTGTTAGACCACCCCCATCTAGTTACAAAAGGGCGCGAGTCATAGATCTCCCTTTACTGTCAAATTGGAGTGTCTCATTGGAACTCCCTATGAACCAAGTTCTACCAGTTAAGTAAAACAAAAACAATGTGTTAAATGTCTTTCCAATCTCTTTTTAATTAGGGCCCTCCTGGTGAGCCTGGCCCACCTGGCCCTCCGGGTCCCCCTGGCCACCTTACAGCTGCTCTTGGGGATATCATGGGGCACTATGATGAAAGCATGCCAGATCCACTTCCTGAGTTTACTGAAGATCAGGCGGCTCCTGATGACAAAAACAAAACGGACCCAGGGGTTCATGCTACCCTGAAGTCACTCAGTAGTCAGATTGAAACCATGCGCAGCCCCGATGGCTCGAAAAAGCACCCAGCCCGCACGTGTGATGACCTAAAGCTTTGCCATTCCGCAAAGCAGAGTGGTGAGTAGACAGCAGCCCATTTGAGCAAAACCCGTTGTTTCTGATTGTTTATTCTCAACTGCATTCCAAAATATGTTACTGACTTTCTACTTAGTGATAGATTTGAGATAAAAATAGTAAACATATCATGGAGCTTATAATTTAATGGTGGAAACAGTCAATTTTGTGAAAACATGAAAAAAATGCTCAGCATCACTAATTATTAGAGAAATGAAAATCAAAGCCATAGTGAGATACCATCTCACACGAGTCAGTATGGCTGTCATTAAAAAGTCACAAAACAGGCCAGGTGCGGTGTCTCACGCCTGTAATCCCAGCACTTTGGGAGGCCGAGGTGGGCTAATCATGAGGTCAGGAGATCAAGACCATCCTGGCTAACATGGTGAAACCCCGTCTCTACTAAAAATACAGAAAATTAGTCAGGCGTGGTGGCGGGTGCCTGTAGTTCCAGCTACTCGGGAGGCTGAGGCAGGAGAGTGGCATGAACCCAGGAGCCGGAGCTTGCAGTGAGTTGAGATCGCGCCACTGCCTGGGCGACAGAGCGAGACTGTGTCTCAAAAAAATAAAAAAGTCACAAAACAGATACTGACAAGGCTTTGGAGAAAAGGGAATGCTTATACACTTATTGGTGGGAATGTAAATTAGTTCAGCCACTGTGGAAAGCAGCTGGAGATTTCTCAAAGAACTTAAAGCAGAGCTACCATTTGACCCAGCAATCCTGTGATTTGGTATATCCCAAAGGAAAATAAATCGTTCTACCAAAAAGACCCATGAATTCATGTATTCATCACTGTGCTATTCACAGTAGCAAAGACATGAAATTGACCCAGATGCCCATCAATGGTAGATTGGATAAAGAAAATGTGGTACATATATATGATGGAACATTATGTGGCCATAAAAAAGAATGAAATCATGTCCTTTGCAGCAACATGGATGCAGCGGGAAACCATAATCCTAAGCAAATTAATACAGGAACAGAAAACCAAATATCATATGTTCTCATTTATAAGTAAGAGCTAATGAGCACACATGGACATAAATATGAAACCATAAACACTGCAGGCTACTACAGGGGGGAGGGTGTGGATGGGAGCAAGGGTTGAGAAATTACCTATTGGATACTATGCTCACTACCTGGGTGACAGGATCTGTACCCCAAACCTCAGCATCATACAATATCCCCATGTAACAAATCTGCACAGGTACCCCTTGTATTTAAAATAAATGTTAACTTTAAAAAAAATGTACTATAATAGATGATATATCCTATTAATAATCCAGTTTCATGATGGTAGTTCCATTTTCATCCAGAAATCTTAAAATATTGATATTTTTGTGGAATAAAAGCATTTCGTGGAAATGTGGAAAATGCTTGCTTAAGTATTGTTCAAAATATTTATTTACTTGCATGACCTATAAGTGTCTTAATGTTAACATATTGCTGGATCATCAAGCATATATTTCCCACATTTAAATATGTAATTCCTTTCATGTAGTTTAATGTTCTATGAGTCATACTTTTGGAATCTCTGCTGGCAGGATTATATTATTATGAGGTTCCAAGACATTTTGGAATCAAATAGTTGTTCTGCCCTAGTTGCATGTACCAGGCTTAAAGTTTACCTTATTCTGTCATTTTAATTAATCCAATATGACCTAGAGAAGAGGGATCCTAAGTCACAGGAGACAAATGAGCTACAAAGAGCCTAAGAATTTAAGTTAACTTTGAAATGACATTGACAGGAATAGCTAAAATTATTATCATTGAAGAAAGGGCAATTTTATTAACTCTATACATTACATTCCGACACTTTCATTTAAAATGCAATTCTCACATACTATTTATATAATATACACACAAATATATGTATACACACACCCATGTATGCAAATGCATATTAAATTGTGTATTTGACTGTATGCCTACCACCAGGCACTGCCTTGGTATTTCCTATTTTAAGAGTCTCTTATATATGAGAAGAGTAATTTTAAAAAGATCTAATGAAATGATTCATAGCATTCTAATTGTAATTCAACTTATTTATTCACTTTACTCATAGTTTTGATGTTACATTATTTTATTACATTATTTACATTATTTTGTTACACTCATTCTAATTTGCTTTAAAATATTGGAAACACATCTATTTTGGTAAAGCCGCTTACTATAGATTTTCTCTTTTCGGTATGGTTTTCTCATCTATAAAATGGGGGTAATGATATTTCCTTCATATGGATGTTTTGAGCCTTAAGTACATGGTTTGGCAAAGTGCCTTACAATAGCGACTAGAATGTAGAAAGGCCCCCAATGCATACCGGTTACTTTTTTCGTAAGGGGCACTCTCACTTAAAAGAATCCTTAATCAGTGAGTGTATATTTTCAAACCCTCTGTTAATTCTTTTGGAGACTTATAGTCATGATTGAGATTGTCTTTATTTAGTAAAATTTCTATTTTGAAAAATAGGTGAATACTGGATTGATCCTAACCAAGGATCTGTTGAAGATGCAATCAAAGTTTACTGCAACATGGAAACAGGAGAAACATGTATTTCAGCAAACCCATCCAGTGTACCACGTAAAACCTGGTGGGCCAGTAAATCTCCTGACAATAAACCTGTTTGGTATGGTCTTGATATGAACAGAGGGTCTCAGGTAATTTAATATGTTTACTTAAAATTGTATTCTTTACTTTTTACTACTTATTACATATTTTTGATTTATTTAGGACTTTGCTATTTTTTTAAACCAGGCTTATTTTACCATGTTTATTTTGAAGTGATATAGTCTCATTAGTTACAATTGTAATACCATTGCATAAACAAGGTTTTGCTATGAGTGAAGTTAACATAAATTTTGAATTAAAAATTTTCTCATGGATGAAATATAGAAAAGTAATTATTTTTACTGTAAGTTCCTCTAATGTATGTGACATGGACTATGGAGTGTACCAGAAGTGATAAACTATAGTGCCATAGTTGATAAACAGTTATTTCTGTATATTCAGCTTCAGCAGACCTGGTTACCTCACGGGGATCTTGTACTGACTTTGGGGCCTTATAAAGTCTCTGAACTTTTTGGAGACTCAGTTTTGCCAGTTTAAAGTAAGGGTGATAATATTTATTCCATAGTTTCCATGTGGATATAAAATTCTTAGTTTAGGGTCTCTTGTACTATGGGATAGATGGTAAATTAATATTAGATAACTACTATAATAATGTCTAAATAATTGAATCATTTTGTAAAATTTTTAATATTATTTAAACTTAAGGCATTTTTGTAATGTTATGAAGTCAATTGATATTTTTCTGAGTCCCAGTCTACCCTGTTTCTATCATGGTCTGGTGTTCAGACAACTGTCTGGCCTTTCCACTGCCTGTTGCAATGTGAATATTTCATTCTGCATCTCTTTATGGCAGCCTAATTGAAATTTTCTTCTCACTTCTGCTTCTGACCTTTTCCTAGAAATCACGTTCAGAATAAACATTATGAGAACATTATGGGTGTATACAAGATAAGCTAGTATCTGTCATTATTTAATGAGCACAAAATTTTAAATTTTAAATATAAATAGTTGAAATATAATTTAGCTAATATAATATGTAAAATAAAACCCCCAAATGGGAGTGCTGAAACCAAAGCTAAAGTAGAAGGTGAGTAGGAAAGAGTCTCTAGAAAAATTTTTTTGATTATTTTTGTTAGCACATGGAAAACTTTTAATATGTATTTCCTACAATTGTGTAATAGTTGGGGTCAAAAGATTTTATACTACTAGTTAATTCTAATTTTTATTATAATTAGCAATAAAAATGAGTTATTTTTGATACATGAGTGAAGCAGATTTAAAAATACTTATGCTTGTTCTCGTGAATTATTGTTATTATTGGTTTCATTACCCTTTGGGTTAATAAGGACAGAGGTTCTTTTGAGTATTCATAGACATTTTAAGATATGTTTAGATGTACAGCTAGAATAGCTTACTTTATGACAAGAATTAAAGTAATACTCTTCAAAATTGATTTATCTGAAATCAATTTATATATTTATCTATACATGTGTAAGGCATTATGAAACCCTTCAGTCTTGTGTATGACAAAGACTCTTTGTTTTTCTAGTTCGCTTATGGAGACCACCAATCACCTAATACAGCCATTACTCAGATGACTTTTTTGCGCCTTTTATCAAAAGAAGCCTCCCAGAACATCACTTACATCTGTAAAAACAGTGTAGGATACATGGACGATCAAGCTAAGAACCTCAAAAAAGCTGTGGTTCTCAAAGGGGCAAATGACTTAGATATCAAAGCAGAGGGAAATATTAGATTCCGGTATATCGTTCTTCAAGACACTTGCTCTGTAAGTACTTTTTGATCTACATTGATCTGGTTGAGGAAAAAAAATTATTTTTGTTAAAAATACTATTACAGCACTAGAACTGGGGGCAATTTTACCTTGTATATGAGCATAATAGCAGTTTGTTTATAGTCATTCCTTAGGGTAAATGTGTGTGTGTTAGCACATGAAGCATGATAGAGGTTTGAATCCATATAGTAAAGAAAGAACTGGATCCCTAAGATCTGATCCAGTTCTTCTGCAGACTTTCTTTGGTTCTTTTCCAAGTTATTTAACTTACTGAATCTCAGTCCCATGCTTAAAATTCCTTATTTCTAAAATGCGTAATTAATCCAAGATACTTTATTTTTTCCACCAATTTGTAAGTAAGTCTCCCCGCTTGCATATTGAGATATAAAACGAAAATAATACTAAATGGTGAATTATAGTTTCATTTGTGAAAAACAAAAAAGCTTTCATAATTTATGTTGCTAGTGACCATTTGGGAAGCTGCAGAAGAACAAAGGAAATTTACTTAAAGCATGAAAGAAATTCTGTTACATAAGTACACTAATATTTCACTTTATGTTTTCATTCCTTTTTTTTAAGTAGTACTCTAAAAATCATTGCCTTTACATTATAAAAGTGTCTGGGAAGGTTGCTGTCTAACATACTTGGAAAAAATTGTATGTACATTTAACCCATTGCATCATTTAATTTCAGAAGCGGAATGGAAATGTGGGCAAGACTGTCTTTGAATATAGAACACAGAATGTGGCACGCTTGCCCATCATAGATCTTGCTCCTGTGGATGTTGGCGGCACAGACCAGGAATTCGGCGTTGAAATTGGGCCAGTTTGTTTTGTGTAAAGTAAGCCAAGACACATCGACAATGAGCACCACCATCAATGACCACCGCCATTCACAAGAACTTTGACTGTTTGAAGTTGATCCTGAGACTCTTGAAGTAATGGCTGATCCTGCATCAGCATTGTATATATGGTCTTAAGTGCCTGGCCTCCTTATCCTTCAGAATATTTATTTTACTTACAATCCTCAAGTTTTAATTGATTTTAAATATTTTTCAATACAACAGTTTAGGTTTAAGATGACCAATGACAATGACCACCTTTGCAGAAAGTAAACTGATTGAATAAATAAATCTCCGTTTTCTTCAATTTATTTCAGTGTAATGAAAAAGTTGCTTAGTATTTATGAGGAAATTCTTCTTCCTGGCAGGTAGCTTAAAGAGTGGGGTATATAGAGCCACAACACATGTTTATTTTGCTTGGCTGCAGTTGAAAAATAGAAATTAGTGCCCTTTTGTGACCTCTCATTCCAAGATTGTCAATTAAAAATGAGTTTAAAATGTTTAACTTGTGATCGAGACCTACATGCATGTCTTGATATTGTGTAACTATAATAGAGACTCTTTAAGGAGAATCTTAAAAAAAAAAAAACGTTTCTCACTGTCTTAAATAGAATTTTTAAATAGTATATATTCAGTGGCATTTTGGAGAACAAAGTGAATTTACTTCGACTTCTTAAATTTTTGTAAAAGACTATAAGTTTAGACATCTTTCTCATTCAAATTTAAAGATATCTTTCTCCTCTTGATCAATCTATCAATATTGATAGAAGTCACACTAGTATATACCATTTAATACATTTACACTTTCTTATTTAAGAAGATATTGAATGCAAAATAATTGACATATAGAACTTTACAAACATATGTCCAAGGACTCTAAATTGAGACTCTTCCACATGTACAATCTCATCATCCTGAAGCCTATAATGAAGAAAAAGATCTAGAAACTGAGTTGTGGAGCTGACTCTAATCAAATGTGATGATTGGAATTAGACCATTTGGCCTTTGAACTTTCATAGGAAAAATGACCCAACATTTCTTAGCATGAGCTACCTCATCTCTAGAAGCTGGGATGGACTTACTATTCTTGTTTATATTTTAGATACTGAAAGGTGCTATGCTTCTGTTATTATTCCAAGACTGGAGATAGGCAGGGCTAAAAAGGTATTATTATTTTTCCTTTAATGATGGTGCTAAAATTCTTCCTATAAAATTCCTTAAAAATAAAGATGGTTTAATCACTACCATTGTGAAAACATAACTGTTAGACTTCCCGTTTCTGAAAGAAAGAGCATCGTTCCAATGCTTGTTCACTGTTCCTCTGTCATACTGTATCTGGAATGCTTTGTAATACTTGCATGCTTCTTAGACCAGAACATGTAGGTCCCCTTGTGTCTCAATACTTTTTTTTTCTTAATTGCATTTGTTGGCTCTATTTTAATTTTTTTCTTTTAAAATAAACAGCTGGGACCATCCCAAAAGACAAGCCATGCATACAACTTTGGTCATGTATCTCTGCAAAGCATCAAATTAAATGCACGCTTTTGTCATGTCAGTGGTTTTTGTTTTGTGAAATTCCTTTGACCATATTAGATCTATTTCATTTCCAATAGTGAAAAGGAGATGTGGTGGTATACTTTGTTTGCCATTTGTTTAAAAGATACAACGGATACCTTCTATCATGTATGTACTGGCTTATAAATGAAAATCTATCTACAACATTACCCACAAAGGCAACATGACACCAATTATCACTGCCTCTGCCCTTAAAAATGTCAGAGTAGTATTATTGATAAAAAGGGCAAGCAATAGATTTTTCATGACTGAATAAACTGTAATAATAAAACATATGTCTCAAAGTGTATCACATATGAATTTAGCCTAATTGTTTTCAGTTTCATTCTCAATATTTAGTTTACAACATCATTTTCCCCTAAACTGGTTATATTTTGACCTGTATATCTTAAATTTGAGTATTTATATGCCTAAATACATGTGTGAGTTTTGTTTGACTTCCAAGTCCAAACTATAAGATTATATAAGTTCATATAGATGAATCAGAAATATGTGGTAATACTATTAAGTCACAAACACTAACAATTTCCAACTATAGAAATAACAGTTCTTATTTGGATTTTGGGAATGCTACCAATAAAAGCCTGCCCAGACCATTCCAAAGCTCTCAAATTTCTTGCCTATATATTAGACCTGTCAGTGGATTTCTTTACTTTCATGTCCCATAGACACCTCAAATTCTACACTATAAAAAGTGAAATAATCTACATTTGGGGAGGATGGTGGCATACATTTATTGTTGATTTATTTAAAAAATACAAATGAAAATTCTCAAAATTAACAGAAATTTAAAAAAAGACAGCAGCGTCATTATCCATCCATTTAGGCAGGCCAGAAACCCGAGAGTCATTTTTGTCACCTCTCTCTCTCTCTCTCAGACCATGCCAGAGTACTGTCCTTCTTAAATATTTCTAATTCTGCCCCCTAAATATTCCCTAAGGTCATATCCTTCTCTTGATCTCCACTGCCGTTATCCTTGTCCACATGAATATTATGTCTCGCCTGAGCTTTTTCAATAGCCTCTGACAGGTTTTCAGGCATGCACTCTTTCCCTCTTCTGATCCATTCTTCTCACTACAGCCAGAGAAATCAATTTGAAATAAAAATCTGAATATGTCACCTCCCACTCCCCCCCGCCACCCTAGCTAACACAACACACACGCACTCATCTTATTATAAAAAGCTTCAGTGGTAACTTCTAGGATAAAGACAAAAATCTTCAAACTATGAGGTACTGGCATGACCTGACTCCTGCCTTCTTCCCAGGCTTCCTTACACCACTATCTCCGTTACTCTGTGCTCCACTCACATGGGATTTTGTCCATTTTCTAAAAGCTTCTAGATTCCCTGTCCTGCTGAAAACCATTTGTATGTGTATTCTCTTTGCCCAGTTTACTTGTATTTACCTTTCAGAACTCTTCTCAATGCCTCATCCTCACAAAATCTTTACTAGGCTCCTCACTCCTCACCACAACTCAGGTAAGATAGTCCCTGTTAAATTTTCTTGGCACGCTGTATTTCTTCTTATAAATATTTATATTTATAGCACAAATTAGAATGTTTTATAAAGGGTGTGATTATTTGGTAGGTGTCAGTCTTTTCTATTAATTGTATTTGTTACAAAGGCATGGATTGTTTACACAGGATCTAAAAATTTTCTTAGTATTTGTGCATGCTCAACATACATTCATTGAATGATGAAAAATTGTATACTATGTGTAACTGGAAAAATACATTCAGAGAGTAATCATACTTGATTTCTGTACTAGTGTGAAGCATACATCATTATTACCATTATATTATGTTACTGTTTCTATTAGTACTACTGGACAGAAACACAATTGAAGAAGGGATTATTATCCAGTAACAATAGCAACATACAACGTATACCTAAACGTGACAAGAAATTTACAGAACGTGATTGAAAAAATCCATAACACTTGACTGAGACATGTAAATTAAAATTAGGGCTAAACCTACCTTAACATAGGGAAGCTCAATATTTGAAAAATGTAATTTTTTTCCTAAATTAATAAATACTCCCACTGAAAATCCCTATAAGATCATAAAAACAGAAAACTTGACAAAACTATTCTAAAGCTCATTGGAATAAAAAATTTGCTAGAAAAGTGATTAGAAAATCCCCTCCAAAACAGAAGTGGTGAATAAAGGTGGGCCCTGGCCCAAGTAAATATTTAAAAATAATAAAAAGCTACCAGTCATAGGGAACAAAAAATATTTAGAAATGAATCTATGTACCTGTATTATAATTAATATAGAAAAAAATTCCCATTTTTCCAGTAAATGCTATTAAAGTAAATTTATAACTATTTATCATTTGAAAGCATGTTTCTTTCTTTAATTCTTATACCAAAACAGTTCCCAAATGAACTAATTTAATTTTTATTTTTATTTTTTTTTTTATTTTTTTTTTATTATACTTTAAGTTTTAGGGTACATGTGCACATTGTGCAGGTTAGTTACATATGTATACATGTGCCATGCTGGTGCACTGCACCCACTAACTCGTCATCTAGCATTAGGTATATCTCCCAATGCTATCCCTCCCCCCTCCCCCCACCCCACCACAGTCCCCAGAGTGTGATATTCCCCTTCCTGTGTCCATGTGATCTCATTGTTCAATTCCCACCTATGAGTGAGAATATGTGGTGTTTGGTTTTTTGTTCTTGCGATAGTTTACTGAGAATGATGATTTCCAATTTCATCCATGTCCCTACAAAGGACATGAACTCATCATTTTTTATGGCTGCATAGTATTCCATGGTGTATATGTGCCACATTTTCTTAATCCAGTCTATCATTGTTGGACATTTGGGTTGGTTCCAAGTCTTTGCTATTGTGAATAATGCTGCAATAAACATACGTGTGCATGTGTCTTTATAGCAGCATGATTTATAGTCATTTGGGTATATACCCAGTAATGGGATGGCTGGGTCAAATGGTATTTCTAGTTCTAGATCCCTGAGGAATCGCCACACTGACTTCCACAATGGTTGAACTAGTTTATAGTCCCACCAACAGTGTTAAAGTGTTCCTATTTCTCCACATCCTCTCCAGCACCTGTTGTTTCCTGACTTTTTAATGATTGCCATTCTAACTGGTGTGAGATGGTATCTCATAGTGGTTTTGATTTGCATTTCTCTGATGGCAGTGATGATGAGCATTTTTTCATGTGTTTTTTGGCTGCATAAATGTCTTCTTTTGAGAAGTGTCTGTTCATGTCCTTCGCCCACTTTTTGATGGGGTTGTTTGTTTTTTTCTTGTAAATTTGTTGGAGTTCATTGTAGATTCTGGATATTAGCCCTTTGTCAGATGAGTAGGTTGCGAAAATTTTCTCCCATTTTGTAGGTTGCCTGTTCACTCTGATGGTAGTTTCTTTTGCTGTGCAGAAGCTCTTTAGTTTAATTAGATCCCATTTGTCAATTTTGTCTTTTGTTGCCATTGCTTTTGGTGTTTTGGACATGAAGTCCTTGCCCATGCCTATGTCCTGAATGGTAATGCCTAGGTTTTCTTCTAGGGTTTTTATGGTTTTAGGTCTAACGTTTAAATCTTTAATCCATCTTGAATTGATTTTTGTATAAGGTGTAAGGAAGGGATCCAGTTTCAGCTTTCTACATATGGCTAGCCAGTTTTCCCAGCACCATTTATTAAATAGGGAATCCTTTCCCCATTGCTTGCTTTTCTCAGGTTTGTCAAAGATCAGACAGTTGTAGGTATGCGGCGTTATTTCTGAGGGCTCTGTTCTGTTCCATTGATCTATATCTCTGTTTTGGTACCAGTACCATGCTGTTTTGGTTACTGTAGCCTTGTAGTATAGTTTGAAGTCAGGTAGTGTGATGCCTCCAGCTTTGTTCTTTTGGCTTAGGATTGACTTGGCGATGCGGGCTCTTTTTTGGTTCCATATGAACTTTAAAGTAGTTTTTTCCAATTCTGTGAAGAAAGTCATTGGTAGCTTGATGGGGATGGCATTGAATCTGTAAATTACCTTGGGCAGTATGGCCATTTTCACGATATTGATTCTTCCTACCCATGAGCATGGAATGTTCTTCCATTTGTTTGTATCCTCTTTTATTTCCTTGAGCAGTGGTTTGTAGTTCTCCTTGAAGAGGTCCTTCACATCCCTTGTAAGTTGGATTCCTAGGTATTTTATTCTCTTTGAAGCAATTGTGAATGGGAGTTCACTCATGATTTGGCTCTCTGTTTGTCTGTTGATGGTGTATAAGAATGCTTGTGATTTTTGTACATTGATTTTGTATCCTGAGACTTTGCTGAAGTTGCTTATCAGCTTAAGGAGATTTTGGGCTGAGACAATGGGGTTTTCTAGATATACAATCATGTCATCTGCAAACAGGGACAATTTGACTTCCTCTTTTCCTAATTGAATACCCCTTATTTCCTTCTCCTGCCTAATTGCCCTGGCCAGAACTTCCAACACTATGTTGAATAGGTGTGGTGAGAGAGGGCATCCCTGTCTTGTGCCAGTTTTCAAAGGGAATGCTTCCAGTTTTTGCCCATTCAGTATGATATTGGCTGTGGGTTTGTCATAGATAGCTCTTATTATTTTGAAATACGTCCCATCAATACCTAATTTATGGAGAGTTTTTAGCATGAAGGGTTGTTGAGTTTTGTCAAAGGTTTTTTCTGCATCTATTGAGATAATCATGTGGTTTTTGTCTTTGGCTCTGTTTATATGCTGGACTACATTTATTGATTTGTGTATATTGAACCAGCCTTGCATCCCAGGGATGAAGCCCACTTGATCATGGTGGATAAGCTTTTTGATGTGCTGCTGGATTCGTTTTGCCAGTATTTTATTGAGGATTTTTGCATCAATGTTCATCAAGGATATTGGTCTAAAATTCTCTTTTTTTGTTGTGTCTCTGCCCGGCTTTGGTATCAGAATGATGCTGGCCTCATAAAATGAGTTAGGGAGGATTCCCTCTTTTTCTATTGATTGGAATAGTTTCAGAAGGAATGGTACCAGTTCCTCCTTGTACCTCTGGTAGAATTCGGCTGTGAATCCATCTGGTCCTGGACTCTTTTTGGTTGGTAAGCTATTGATTATTGCCACAATTTCAGCTCCTGTTATTGGTCTATTAAGAGATTCAACTTCTTCCTGGTTTAGTCTTGGGAGAGTGTATGTGTCGAGGAATTTATCCATTTCTTCTAGATTTTCTAGTTTATTTGCATAGAGGTGTTTGTAGTATTCTCTGATGGTAGTTTGTATTTCTGTGGGATCGGTGGTGATATCCCCTTTATCATTTTTTATTGTGTCTATTTGATTCTTCTCTCTTTTTTTCTTTATTAGTCTTGCTAGCGGTCTATCAATTTTGTTGATCCTTTCAAAAAACCAGCTCCTGGACTCATTAATTTTTTGAAGGGTTTTTTGTGTCTCTATTTCCTTGAGTTCTGCTCTGATTTTAGTTATTTCTTGCCTTCTGCTAGCTTTTGAACGTGTTTGCTCTTGCTTTTCTAGTTCTTTTAATTGTGATGTTAGGGTGTCAATTTTGGATCTTTCCTGCTTTCTCTTGTGGGCATTTAGTGGTATAAATTTCCCTCTACACACTGCTTTGAATGCGTCCCAGAGATTCTGGTATGTTGTGTCTTTGTTCTCGTTGGTTTCAAAGAACATCTTTATTTCTGCCTTCATTTCGTTATGCACCCAGTAGTCATTCAGGAGCAGGTTGTTCAGTTTTTAAAACCTCTAAATATGTTTGCATAAAAATTATTGAGTAGTTGAATAATCCTGGAATGGAAATGAAAAAAATATATAAATAATAAAATGATGAAAGATCAGATTCTATAATACATCTTAAATCTGTATTATAACCAGGCACAATGCTAATCACTTGTTGTCCCAGCTGTTCAGTAGTCTGAGGTGGGAGGATCACTTGAGTCCAGGAGTTCAAGGCTAGCCCTGGCAAGACAGTGAGATCCTACCATAAAAAAAAAGAAAACTATATTATAAAACTGTCAGTAGTATGCTTCAAAGCATGTTCAAATTGGGAAAATTTATGTAATATATATTACAGAAATGGTTTAATACAGTTTCTGTAAAAACCTCCAAAATATGCATAGTCCTATACAGGTAATTTACAAAAGCCACAATATAAAAACTGATAAATGTGGAAGATATTTAATATCATTAGAAATAAAAATGCAACAGAAACAATAAGATATTGAATTCTATCAGAATTGGACAAACATTAAAATACCTGATACTATTAAGTGTCAAAGAAGATGCAGAAAAACAGTCACATACACTTTTTCCCCCTGTTTTTTCCCCTGGAAAGTGGAAAGAATAGTTAAAGTCATTTTCTCTAATTGGTTTATTCACAGTTCCCATAAATGTGAGAAGGTAGTAGGCCCAAAAGTGAGCCAGAGGTTGAGGATAGAGTAGTACACACTAGGATGTCCTCTGGGCTGTTGATTTTACCTGATGACAAGTAACTTAAAACATTATTTGTAAAACAAAAAACAACAAAAGACAAAACAGCTCCAGAAATGTAAATATAATAAATATAAGAGAATAGAACTTAAAAATTAACATGACAAAAACAATTTCACAATGGTGCCAGATTATTTACACTACAGACTAAGAATCTATTGTGGGTACATGCTTTTCATGTGGATTTCATGTCAGATACTGGTATTTTTGCTTTGGAATGTAAAATTATTACCCAGCACATGGTACAGGAAATCACTCCATGCTTTATATGCTGTTTATACTATTTAGTGGGTAAAACAGACCAACATACCAACTAAGCTGAATAAATACATGGTGATAACTAATGTTAATTAGGTTTGTACATGGGAAGCATGGGACCTAGCCAAATTCAAGCTAGGCTGGAATTTGGAGAGGAGAGGAAGCAAGGAAGAGTAGCTGGAATACACTCTTTCTTAATGAGTCTTGAGGGTTAAAGAAAGACAGTGTCTTGAGGGTTAAAGACAGCGTCTTGAGCAGTGAGGGAAGGTAAGACACAAAGAACAACATAGATCAAGGCATGGAGTTCCTAAAAGTCATGGTCTTGCCTGGGGAGCCCCTAGTGGGCAGTTTCTGTAATAGATTGCACACAAGGGGTTAGTGGGAGATGAAGTTAGAGAAGCAGGTTGAGGTTTCATAAAGGGACTTGTGTGTAGAAATAAAGAGATTGAAAATTATTTTGAAGGTGTTTTAAGGAAAGTATCTGTGGTTCTTAGCTGGGTGTGTAACCATACCCTCTAGAGTACCCTTGGAAATGTGTGAGGGGGGTGTTAGTGGTTGTAATAAAGATTGGGGAATATTTTAGGCATTTTGTAGATGAGCCCAGGATGTTGAAATTCTTGTATGTAGGCCAATCCCTTAGAACAAAATCTGAACCACCCAAAATACCAATAGAAGTTTCACTGCAAAATATTGAAGTGTTTTGGCAAGTAAGACACGTTGTGATTTGCATGTTAGAAAGATCACCTTGGCAGCAATACTGAAGGAAGAATTTTTAATGTGAGTAAGACTGAAAAGAGAAAGATTAGTCGAACAATGTATAAAAAAAGCAGGAAAGAGCAGTTCATGTCACTGCACATGGAGAGAGATGATTTGAGAGATATTTAAGAAAAAGCATCAACGCAATCTGATGAAAGAGTGAGGATGAGGAACCAAGATTTTAAGATTATTTCCAAATTTCTGGCTTAGGTAGCTGGAAGGAAGGTGCTGGCATGTACTGAGATGGGGACTAGCAAAGGGGGCAGCCTTGAGGACATGTGTTCTATGTCCATGGGGCATCTAGCTTGAGATAGACAGGGTTATACATAAGGATAGATGAGCCATCACATCCAGTAATTGTTTGAGATTTCAGTGTGAGTGCAATCATTCACAAAAGTGGAGACTAGTGAGCCCGGAACAGACGACTGGAGAATGCTGATGTTCAAGAGGAAAAGAGTGAAGGAGGAATATATATTATAGGAATATTACTTTTTAGTCATAGAATTCTAAACCTCGGATGTTAGAGGTAACTGTGAAGTCAGAAAAGAGAGCTTGAAGCCATGTCTAATGCTATAATGCATCTCTTATTCTCATTTTTATACTTTAATGACTAAACTCAATAAAACCAACAGAATGAAATATGAAAGAAAATGAAAATTCTATTTGAAAATTGAACTAGACAAAAGCATTAGTGAGACATAATAAGGAGCTCTAGAGATAAAACTGTAAAAATTTAGCAAAATCCTATAAAAATTTGCTCATAATTCTCTGCTGGATTTTATTTTGATGCTATCAACAAAAACCTCAAATGATATTTCGTTCATATGTGACTATCTTACAGGATAAAAAATGCCCTGAAGATTGCATTTATTTTGATTTTCTTTTTCTTTTTTTTTTAAATTTTGTATTTCCATAGGTTATTGGGGAACAGATGGTGTTTAGTTACATGAGTAACTTCTTTAGTGGTGATTGCTGAGATTTTGGTGCACCCAGCACCCGAGCAGTATACACTGCACCCAATTTGTAGTCTTTTATAGCTCACTCCCTTTCCACTCTTTCCCCCGATTCCCCAACGTCCACTGTGTCATTGCTATGCCTTTGCATCCTCATAGCTTAGCTCTCACTTATGAGTAAGAACATACAATGTGTGGTTTTCCATTCATGAGTTACTTCTCTTAGAATAATAGTCTCCAACTCATCCACATTGCTGTGAATGCCATTAATTCATTCCTTTTTATAGCTGAGTAGTATTCCATCATATATATATCTCATATATATATATATATATATATATATATATATATATATATATATCAACGAGTGAATAAAGAAACTGTGTTGATTGATGGGCATTTGGGTTGTTTCCACATTTTTGTAATTGCAAATTGTGCCACTATAAACATGCGCATGTAAGTATCTATTTGGTGTAATGACTTCTTTTCCTCTAGGTAGATACCAAGTAGTGGGATTGGTGAATCAAATGGTAATTCTACTTTTAGTCCTTTAAGGAATCTCCACACTGTATTCCACCAGTGGTTGTACTAGTTTACATTCCCTCCAGCAGTGTAGAAGTGTTCCTGATCATGTCCACGCCAACATCTATTATTTTTTGATTTTTTGATTATGGCCATTTCTTGCATGAGTTAGATGGTATTGCATTGTGGTTTTGATTTGCATTTCTTTAATCATTAGTGATGGTGAGCATTTTTTCCTATGTTTCTCGGTCATTTGTATATCTTCTTTTGAGACAGAGTCTTGCTCTGTTGCCCAGGTTAAACAGCAGTGGTGTGATCTTGCCTCACTGCCACCTCTGGGTCCTGGGTTCAAGTAAGTCTCCTGTGTCAGCCTCCTGAGTAGCTGGGATTACAGGTGTGCACCACCATGCCCAGCTAATTTTTGTATTTTTAGTAGAGACAGGGTTTCACCATGTTGGCCAGGCTGATCTCAAACTCCTGGCCTCAAGTGATCTTCCTGCCTTCACCTCACAGATGCATTTAATTTTAATCAAAGAATATGATTCACCTCATTTTAAAGAGTGCATACCAAAAGCATATGCATATAAGCAGTTATGGTTAAATGCCATTGATATGGCAGAAAATTTGTCTGCATATATGTGAAGTACAAATGCAGATTCAAGTGGTAATAAATAGAGAAAGGTAGAACTGTACTGGTAATGTGAACAATTTTCCCAGCAGTTGAAACTGTTATGAGAGATCCTATAATGAAAGGCGGCTGGAGATACAGAATGATCACAATTGTTAGCCAATTTAATGAGAAAAAAAAAAAAACAACATAAATTGAAAACATCTGTAGTCAGAATTGTAGCCCTAAAGACTCAAAGGAAGCTAAAGTACAAGCCCCTCCCAGAGACATTTGACGTTTCCTTGCATAATGCTGTGCTTTGTTGGGTTCTTACAGAAAGTGATCGCCTCTTTCAAAGCTGTGCTTTTGCTGACTCTGCTGAGGACAGTCTCCAGGTGGTTTAAATTCAAGACAAAATTTGAAAATCAGTCCCAAAGCATTTTTATCAATAGCACTAATGAAGCCCTCCTTCTGTTCAGTTTCCTCTCTCTCCTCATAGCCCTGAATTAATCACAACCTGAGCCCTCAAAATTGAATCCTCCTTTTCAAAAACGATTAAAAGCTACAGTATCCCGAATCAGACCCTTGGTGACGTTTCCTCCACATCCTCCTTCTCACCACGTACACACCATGCTGTTCTTTTCCCCTTTCCTTTGGAAGTTTTGCTCCCTGATGATTTCATCTTGGAGCCAGATGATTTCATCCACCATCTGCAGAAGGATAATTTCCAAATAGACTTAGCTGCCTCTGACCTAGTATTCTCCAATCAGTCACACATTTTATCATGTTCAACCACCCTTCCAAATGAATCACTGCCACGTTTAACTGCCACGTAGAAAGCTGCGAGTAAGCCTGAGGTTGTGTAAATTTCCACTCAGTCCTTATTAAATGGAAACGTCTCTTGCCTGACTATTGATATTCTCCTTCAGCCTGACCCCATTTCCCTCCTTAACCTAATTTTCCCAGCAAGTATGTCTACACTCTGTGACTCTTTCTTCAGTCTAGTCTTTGAAGAAAAGGTGTTCTGATTCCCTGCTAAAATTGTTTTGTCTCATCCTCATCTTTCCTAAAATGGAGATCCAATCTGCCTCCTTCTTCCCACAATGGGTATCTCTTCATTGCCTGTAAATCTGGCCATGGCTCCCCATGTTTCCCTTGATTTTGTGCTCTCCTCAAGCAACAGCCTTTCAATATTTAATACCTTTTTATGACTCTAGATTGAGAAGCAGACAAAATAAAAAGTCATCACCTTGCTATTCTAAGGCCTCATGTCTAGACTGTATTTCCAGCCTCGTCTCTCACAACACCACTGCTTGACACCCATGCTCCCTCTGAAACTGGGATAATTTAAATTGCCAAGTATGCCTCCCAACTCTGCACCTCTTTCCTTACAGTATTTTCTGTGGTCTTCCTTTCTCTTGCTACCTGAAAAACATTATATTATTTAAAGTTGGTCCCACATGTCATCTGCTTCATGTAGCCTGTCTTGAGAGCCTCCAAGTGGACATGACTGTTCATTCCTTGTGCCATTCTCATGTTACGGGATCTTCGGGGTGTCAATTTTCTGGCTGGAAACCCCTGTGGCCATGGTGCCTCGGCCTGAGTTCTTGTTGTGCATCCAGGAAGAACGAGGTACACAGACAAGTGAAGTGTGAACAAGACGAAGATGAGCTTTATTGAGCATTACAGCAGCTCAGATGAGACCCACGGTGGGTAACTTCTCTCCGCAGGCAAGTCATCTGTGGAGTGTTCAGTTCTCTGCAGAGAAGAAGCCCTGGAGAGGGTAGCTTCTCTCTGCAGATCATTCAGACGTCTCTGCAGGTCTCTGAAGTTCTCAGCAGAGGGGGGTAGTTCCTCTCTGCAGTTGGTTGTCCTGTTTTCTCTCTGTCCTCTCCATCCTGTGCCCTGCTCTGGCTGAGCCCAGGGCTTTTATGGACCTCACAGGGGAGGAAGTGCCTGCCGATTGGTCATGGATGGCCATGGGTGGCCTGGGAGAGGCACCACAAGTCCCCACTCTGGTCCATGGGACAGGCAGCCTGGCCCGTAACCTTTAGGCCCTCTCTAGCCTGAAGGTGGGGCCTTACCAGGGACCCACCAACTTCTGCCCAGGACTCTGTGTCCCACTGTTATTCATGACCCCAGGGCTCAGCTGCAACCCGGGGTGAGATCAGAGCTGCGGCAGCAGAGGACAGAGGCCAAGCAGCCAGAGCAGATACCCTCAAGCCTACGGGGATGAGCGATGGGGAACTTCCCGGGACCTCAAGTATGCAGGCTACAGAGATGTCCAGGTCCTGGGCCTGGGAGGGCAGCTGCAGCTGCACCTGAGAAGCTCATGCCCCCTCGAAGAGCACAGGGAGGCTCAGATCCACAGCCACAGCTTTGGTGACTATACTCCCACCCAGGAGGGCAGGGCTCCTGCCTGCTCCACAGAGTGGGAGACCTGGGTCTGCAGCTGCAGTTTGGGCAGCTGCAGTGGCACCTGGGGAGCTCCTGCACCAACTCAGAAGGGTCAGGGTTCCCACCAGCTCCATGGAGTGTGCAGCCCCAGCTGTGCCTCCCTGTGCCTCCTTGCTGCAGCCTGCATGATGGCTACAGCTGCTGCCATCACTAGTACCTTGTATTTCTCTAATTCAAATTATTATGTTAAGTCTTGTGACATGCTTGTGTCATCGTACTTTTACTAAATTTCATGATCTCTTTTTCTCCTTGAATAATCTTGGGCACTTGGTTCTGAGCCTTGCATTTAGTAATTGCTCAATACTGTGGCTGAATTAAAATGAATGGATTTAGGTAGCCTGGGTTCTTCACTGTGCTATGGACATAGGATAATCATTCTTCTATTTGTTCTCTTCTTTTGTTTATTAGTCCAAAGTGGTTTTCCTTTTCTCCAATGTTTACTCAAATAACACTCTTTTTTATTGTACAATACATTTTATCTTTTTAAAGAAGACAGTCCTGAAAATATAATCATCATTGACCAATTATTTTTCTCATCTACTATCTTTATCTCTTATAGTTAGCTCAGCACAATTTAGCACTTAATTGCTTGTCTTGAATGCTTTTGTGCAACTTCATTTGGGTTCAACCTATCTACCCTAGACAACACACACCTAAAGACGGACAATCATGTGATATATTTCCCTATAGTGTTTAGAAGAGTACTGAACATATAGGAGGAGCTTATAATTTGGTAATCCACATGTATGCCCTTTTCAAAGCCAAAACATTGATAGCAGCTGATAGCAGCCACTGAAAATAGTTGTTACTGAGAGTTCACAGCAGTGTCTCTCACATAGAATTGCCCTCAGTCACGAAGACTGCTTTACAAATGTAACCTCCACCCCTTCCAAATTTCAGCCCACAGTCAATGACTGTCTGATTCAGGAATAAAAAGACCCATCCCTCTTACTGTGAATTATAGCAACTCTGAAGGGCCACCTCAGTTCCAGAGTTTCCTGCAGAGTCCCCTGAAACCTCCATCAATTGCATGGGGTCAGCTTCCCCCTCTGTCTAAACCTACGTTTCTCATTTCCTTACAGATGTATCTCCCAAGATGACTCCCCAGTAAATCTTCTGCTCATCATTAGCTGCCTTACAGTCTGTTTTCAGGGAACTCAACCAAAGACAGAGCTTAACTTTTGCTTCTTTTCCTACTCCATTATGGGGTATCTCATTTTAAAGATAATGGAAAGTATATCCCACAAAATCACTAAACTGGCGTGAAATATCATAACTCCTATTTCTAAATTTTATGGACCTCAAAGGGCAACCTGATTTCTGTTAATAAATATCATAGCAGATATTGTCCAAAAATGCAAAGTAATTCAATGCATTTTAGTGAAAACATTCAGGAGTTTTAAAGGTAAAGATGTTTTTCAGGAAGATTAAAGCAATGAAAAGAAAAAGGATGAGCAAAATATCAGATAAAAACTTGTTTAATAAAAAATGTTAGCCATAGATGATAGTCTTTTTGTTTATGGCATTGACTCAACAAGTGATTATTTGCAAGATTTCTGAAAACCTTCAATGGGGCAGACTAGAGAATATGGAGATTTGGGGAGATCTTTCAAGTATGCTGTGTTGTACAGAATGTTTTCACCAATACTGTATCAAGCTAGCTTAGTGAGTTATGACTCAGTGAAGAATTATGTATGAAAAGAAAATATTTTTTCATAGTTTCAGACTCACTTTTAAAAATAGGCATATTCCTCTAAGACAGAACCCAGAAAAATAGGATTTTAGTATACACTAGATAAAAGAAAGTTCCCTTTGATGTGATTTCTAACTTTGGAGCCATCATCCTGTAAGAACAGTTTCCTCTATATTTCTCCTAATTTGACCAAAAATTTAAAAATACATTTTTATGGATAAAGTAATATTATGTTAAGTAAAATAAGCAGCATACAATATTGCATAAATAGTATTATCCCAATTATGTTAGAATATGCTTAGAAGACTTGAAGGAAATAGCCACTGATCTGGAACACGTATACTCTATTTTTCTTCTTAGTTTCCTGCATGTTCTAATTATGTTATAATGGCTGCATTAACTTCATCCTCAATCTTTATAAAATACATTTTATTTTAGTCAAGGAAGTAAAATAATCTTTGTTAAAATGTCAGTTTGAGGGTGAAGAAAGTTGTATTTAATCCTCCATCATGAAAGAGATAATAACGAGATAACGTAACTATGATATAAAGGATTGCATTGCATCACTATCTGCCATTTATAGACAGAAAAACTCATATAACCGCAATTGACCTTGCTTTTAAAAATCTATAATTAGTGGTCTTGGAATACATTGACTCTAAATTCATTTCTTCCCTTAATGCCACAATTCTGAAATTTAAACTTTTTCACCTGGCACCTAAGTCACTACACTTTCATGGTTTCCTTTCATTCTTTCTCTCTCTCCTTTGTTGCTTCCTCTTCAGTTCTCCAATTTGTGAATATTAAAGTATCCCAGGCATTCATATTTTCTTCTTTCTACACTCTATTATTTCATGATCTTCTCTACTTTTCTTCCTTTTTTTTTTTTTTTGAGGCGTAATTTTGCTCTTGTTGCCCAAGCTGGATGCAATGGCATGATCCCGGCTCACTGCAAACTCCACCTCTTGGGTTCAAGTGATTCTCTTGCCTCAGCCTCCCAAGTGGCTGAGATTACAGGCGCGTGCCACTGTGGCTAATTTTTTGTATTTTTAGTAGAAACGAGGTTTCACCATGTTGGTCAGGCTGGTCTCGAACTCCTGGCCTCAGGTGATCCTCTCACCTTGGCCTCCCAAAGTGCTGGAATTACAGGCATAAGCCACCATGCCTGGCCTGATCTCTTCTATTTCTGAGGATGTAAAAGCCATACGCTGAAACTCTTAAATTTATTTCTCTAGCCTGGACCTCTCCTCTGATTTCCAGCAAGTCTGCTTAAAAGAGCGATAAGCATCCAAAATGTAACATGCCCAGCTTCAAAGTACTGAGTTCCTCAAATTTTTTACCTTAGTCTTCCCCATCTTAGCTGCAACTCTATTCTTCCAGCTACTTGGACCAAAAGCCTTGGATTCATGCTTGATATCTCTCTTTCTCTTAAACCATACATCCAAATTGTCAGCAGTTCCTGTTGGCTCTGTATTCAAAATGTATCCAGAACATGACTACTTTTCATCTCTTCTACTATTACCACCCTGGTGGAGACGACTGTCATCCTTGGCTTAGACTATTGCAATGGACTCATGACTGTTCTCATGGTTTCTGCTCTTAACACACAGTCAGTCGTCTCTAAACAGCAGTCACAGAAATACTCTAAAACTGCAAGCCAGATTGTGTCATCCATTATCACAGTGGCTTCTCATCTAACTGAGGCAACAGCCAATATCCTCAGTGGCCAGATAAAATTAGGGTGACCATATAATGTCATCCGATCAGGATATTTCTGAGTTCTACAATACTAAATCTTATTAGACATTGGGAACATAGGCATAAACTATTACTTTCCAAGGCAAAGCTGCACCTATGGTCACCCTTCTTATAGGTCTCCACATGATTTGTCTCCTCTTTTCCTATGGCTTTCTCTTGTACTCCTCCCCCAGATACTGATTTTGTCACAACCATATTCACTTTGTTTTTCCTTGGACACATCCAGAACATTCCTCTCCTCATGCTATTGCTCTTCTCTCTTCCTGGAATGATCTCTTTAAAAGCTTTATATTACTTGCTACATTACAGATATTCAAAACTTTGATGGGAATTTCAATTAGTCCATAGAATATATGGGTCTTTAGTTCCACAAAGCCAGAAGTCAATTTGTGAATTATCTTTAATTTAATTGATGACTAGCATTATGGAAATAGATGAGATGCCACAAGTGAGTAATACACAAATTAATAAGTTTAAAGTGACTAGAACAATGCTTGGCCCATGGTAAGTGCTTATCAGTTGTGATTCTATTGCAGGAGATTTCCTCCAAAGCACTGAACTTATGCTTCCTTTAAGGAGACTAGGTTTATTAACCATCTTATAGTCTGGGAATTGAAGAAAGTCTTGAGGCCTGTGTGGTTGCTGATCTGAGGTCTCTTTTACCTGAACTAAATATATTTGTCATTATTGTTTATAAAAGACATAAATGTGACTGTCCCAGACATCTCATCATTCTCATTATCAATCAGCCACCGACAACATTACTTCTGAATTATGCCATTTTATTTTTTCTACCATGACAGTCCTGCTATCTTGTACAATATCATTCTCACTTTGTTTCCGGCAGTCTAGAGTTGCCCTTTGTCCTCTGCAAGCTCGGATCCTGTCATCTCCATTGAATCAAGAAGCCTATTTCAGCTAGATTTTTTTCTACTTCCTTCTTCAGACTACAGACACACAAGGAGATTATTCAAAGGTGCCGGCATGCAGGCCACCACGTGTTTCTCAAAACCGTACTGGTCCACCTTGAGAATATACTCAGAAGGTGAATGGTTGTATCACATATGATAAATTCATTCCAATATTTCTATCTTCTTAAGTTTCTGAATTACATTCTCCACCTGTCAGAAAGTTTGTAATGTCTCAAATTCATTCAGTTTGGGCAACCTCTGAGGCCTGAGTTCAGTTCAACCATGTTAATAATTATAATGTTCCTATAACTCTTTGTTACATTCATATATTGATACATTTTATCCAAATTTCACTGTTCTTTTTTGTCTAGTATCTCAAAATCCACTCCTACACACGTTTCTCAGATTTTAAACAATATAAATTAGTTAAATCCTTCCATTCTTTTTATGTGTAAACCTCCTCCTGAGATTGACCTTTAAATTGCTACCCCCTGAGGCATTCTGGGATCTGACTTCAGTTACAAATCTGGAGACAATAAGCAGTGGTGAGAATGAGGTCTGAAGAGAATTGGCTTTTTCTTGTAGTCAGCTTGCATTTTCAGAATGGGGGAACAATTACCAGGCAAGGAATGCAGATCCCATTTCAGATGTCTAAAGAAACTTAATGTGAAACTGGAATGTTTAAAGAGAATTCTTCCATAAACCCCATTTAAATTTCCAGGGTCTTGCTGTTTCCCAATTATAGAGAATCAAATAGAGAATTGGAAAATCCATTTAGATTTATGTTGAAGTCTGGTGATCTGCAGAATTAAGATTTGTATTTGGTTTTTAGTATCTCAAACCTTTGGCAAAAATATGAATTTTTTTTCTTTTTTTCCAGAAAGATAGTATGCTTTTATTTTAGCATAGTCAGGGAAAGGGCATAGATTTTCTTCTGTGTCTTAAATCAAGAAGTTAGGGATTTGAACTTGTCATTCTCTTTCTGTTCATCACCATTCACAGCAGCCACATTCACATGCAGTCCTGCAATTTCTCATGAAATTCAAACATACTGTTGTGTAGTAGAGGCCACTTATCTCCTTAAGCCTTGTCTTTAAAGTGCAAATCACTCAATGTAATCATAAATGATTAATCCTATTTCCATGGACTTCCAAATTCTCATTCCCGGATACAAGCTGGATTTTCTATTTTTACCCCTAACTAGTACAAACATTTGATCTCAGAGTCTTTCCATTTGCTTGCATTTCTGCTTCCTGCCAGCCCTGCTGTTACCAATTGCTGGCCTAGTCAGGCTTAGTTGTAAACAATCTAAACCAACTTTAGCTCACTGAAGTAAAAATGTAATTTATGGATTTTTATCTGAAATTCAGAGGAATTCAGAGAAAGCTATAGAATCCAGGTGCATAAAATCAACAAAAAATGAAGTGAATGCTGACATTCAGAGCCATCTTCAAAATCATACCCTAAAAGCAACCTGGCAAAGCCATCATAAACACAAGACACTGGATGCCATTTCTGGCACTGTTGGCCATGCTTCTTTTGATATCTGGCGGTTGCTGCCCCAACTATAGCTGTGATCACCACCAAACTGGATTTTTAATTCTTTTTACTTCTTTGCATCACTATTGTTGGTAGGTGGAATAATGCTCCCTCAAATATGTTCATACCCTAATCCCCAGAGCCAGTAAATATATTACATTTTTTGGCAAGGCAAGGAGCAATTAAGGTTGCAGCAGGCATTAAGGTTGCTTACCAACTGACCTTGAAATGGGGAGAGTAGCTTGGAGTATCCATTTGGGCCCAGTGCAATCATTTGGTTCCTTAAAAGTGAAATAGGAAGACAGAAGAGCCAATGTCAGAATGAGACAACGTGAGAAAGACTTGACCAAATATTTCTGGCTTTGATGTTGGAACTGGCTCATGAACCAAGGAAGCTGGGCAGCCTCTAGAAGCTGGAAAAGGGAACACACAGTTTCTCCCTAGTGTCTCTAGAAAGGAAGACAACCTTGTTTGACACTTGCATTTGAGTCCAGTAAGACTCAGTTTAGACTTTTGATGTTCAGAAGTGTAAGACAAGAAATCTGTGTGGTTTTAAGTCACTAAATTTATGGTAACTTGCTACAGCAGTAATATGAAGTGAATACAATTATCCCCAGATTGAGACCTTCAGGTGTGTGTCTCTGATTTGCCAAGCTCAGGTCACATGGCCACTTGCCTACACCCTAACTCAAGACAGGTTAGGAAAGCAACTGTCTATGGCCTCTAACCTCAACCAAGACTCATCTAACTGTAACTTCCCTGCAATGAGATAGGGCTTTAGATACTTGGTAGCAAATAAATAAACAAATAGGCAAACAAGTAATTTTAACTCGTGTGTTCATTAAACTGAGTATTGGGATCAATAACACACAATAAGTTAGAGCTATATATAATGAAATGAACTACTCTCTGTGATACATTAAGTTACAAATACAGGAGGCAGAACATTGTGTTCCAGATATCTTTCTTGGTCTAAAATAAAACTCCAAGTATCTAATTTATTAATTCATACTATTGATTTGAGTTCTGTCTCTCTCTCTCTATACATATATATATATATATATATATATATATATATATATTTGTGTGTGTGTGTATACATATATGTATGTGTATATATATGTATATGTAGGAAGACAGAGATACATATGCATATATATGCAGTATCTCAGGTTCTCATCATTTCTTGTGGTGAGAATACTTACTCTCTTCGCAATTTTCAAAAATATAATACATTGTTATTGACTGTGGTCACCACGTTTCACAATAGATCTCTTGAGCTTATAACTTCTATCTTACTGCAATTTTGTATCCATAGACTAAAATCTCCCAACCCCACCCCACCTTCTGCCCTTGGAAACCACCATTCTATTCTTCATCAATGAATTCAACTCTTTTAGATTCCACATAGAAGTGAGATCATGTGGTACTTGTCAATTTTTCTTAATATTAATATATTTCAATAGACCCGTATTACAATTACTTTCTGATAAACTATCAACATCTTCCTCCCTTATTATTCCCAGTTTGGGAATACCTTGATTTACTGTGTTACCATTTCCAAGGATTGACCCTTTCAAACAGAATGCCCTCAGTGTCCAGTATGTCCCACAGGGGTTCCTGCAAATATGATCTAAAAATCTGCAGGATTCCTCATTGAGCATTATCTCTACTCTGAATATATGTTATATTATTTTATATTCTTAAAAATTATTGCATTATTAATCTATAGAGTTAGAATTCAATATACTTTTTCAAGATTACTGGAGTTCCTTAATGTAGACGTGCATTTTTTAAATCTTTGAAAAGTGACAAAAAACAGGAGAATTTTAATATGATATTTTATTATGGGTGTCTGTAAGGAAAAAAAAGATCAACAACCACATACAAGCTTACAAAGTTAAATTTCAACACATTCTCTATGCTAGTGTGACAAAAGCAGCCCCATAATTTGGTTTTTATTGTTGACCTTTACAGGATGAAGGAGGAGAATCCCCTGTGGCATGCCAATGAATCTTTCTGATGGGAGACATGTACAGATTTTGTGCATTTATGTTCTGAATGCAAGTCAACAATTCTGATCTAGAGTTTAAAAGTGAAAGTACATTAGCACCATAACATGCGTCTTTAAAGCCTTCCCAAATATTAGTAATCTTGACCAGCAATGACAAGAAAAAAGAGGAGCACCTTTACAAGCAGTTGATATCCAATATTAAAATAATTGTGGCTTTAAAAATATTTCTTTAAATTCTTGCATTACACTTTTCTTTTTAAACCAATCTTCCAGGAGATTAATCAATGAAATTTATAAGTTTTATCAACGTATAAAATTTTTTTCATCTTCTGGGACTCATAGAATACAATCTGTGTTTCTGACCAGTTGAGGTAGTTAAAATAGGGAGGGCTTTTCTAATTTCGTATTTGACTATTTCAGAAAGAAAGGTTATCTTTTACTGGTGAGCACAGTCATTGCTCTGCAGATGGGCTAGGATTCAAAGAATATAACACAGTGTTGTTATCATAAAGAGTGTTGAAGTTTATTTATTATAGCACCATTGAGACATTTTGAAATTGGAATTGGTAAAAAAATAAAACAAAAAGCATTTGAATTGTATTTGGTGGAACAGCAAAAAAAGAGAAGTATCATTTTTCTTTGTCAAATTATACTGTTTCCAAACATTTTGGAAATAAATAACTGGAATTTTGTCGGTCACTTGCACTGGTTGACAAGATTAGAACAAGAGGAACACATATGGAGTTAAATTTTTTTTGTTGGGATTTCAGATAGAGTTTGGTTTATAAAAAGCAAACAGGGCCAACGTCCACACCAAATTCTTGATCAGGACCACCAATGTCATAGGGTGCAATATCTACAATAGGTAGTCTCACAGCCTTGCGTGTTCGATATTCAAAGACTGTTTTGCTCCATTCCCCAGTGTGTTTCTGTAAAAAAGGACAAAATGTACATGATCATGACATTACAATTACTTAGACAACTCTGACTTAACAAGTTAAAGAAAACCTTTTTACTCTAAAGAAGCATTCATCGTGCCATGTTATTATTCATGTATATGAGACCTGCTCTACTTCAAAGCTGTAATCTTCTTAGTTGATAAACAATATTCTTAAACAAATGCCTTGTAAGGATTCTTAGTAAATGCAGCAGGGCAATTGCTATAGACCAGTGCATCCTCAGGAGGCCTGGTTCCGGCCATTGCTAACAGGTTTATAAATGGTTTATTAAAAAGAGGATAGGTCTCTCACAATGAAATTCGCTAATATTAGAAGTGAGTTTTCCCTTTGTTCACAAATAACAATAACAAATGAGAGATTTGAAGTTAACCTTTAAAATTTTAAAAAACAGATATTTCAAACTGAGTTAATGTGACAGGTATTATTCAAAACATATAGTAACTATCCCAATTATCTGATAAAGTTTGCATTATGGATTTAAATTTTAAATGCTTTTATTTCAACTGGTTTTCATCTGGAGGCTAAGATCCATTTTGTTGCATTTAACATTCCCTGCAATGAATCAGTAGATGCAATGTATGTAATTCATACCAAATGCTATCTTTATTTCATCCTATTAATTTTATTTATTCTATTCAAAATAATTTGCATGATTAAACTAAAATGCTGACTGCTTTATGACCTATATTGAGAAAAATGTTTCCTACCGTGCAACCATCCTCCAGAACTGTGTAGGTGAATTTGCTATTTCCTTCAGCCTTGAATTCACCTTCATTTGACCCCATCAGCTTCAGGGCCTTCTTTACATTTCCACTGGCCTGATCCATGTATGCAATGCTATTTTTGCAGTGATATGTGATGTTCTGGGAAGCTCGGCTGGAGAGAAGTCGAAGGAATGCCAGATGCACATCAAGGACATCTTCAGGAAGTTCAGGATTGCCGTAGCTAAACTGTAATAGGGAACAAATAAAACAGATCAAACATTTCAGTTGTAACTGCACGCGAGGGATTCATGTAGTATGTGTATGCATATTGTAATATGGGCTGTTTATATATTTTATGTACGAGTATTTTATGTGTGAAAATATTTTTATTGCATGCCATCACTTTCAGTAGCAAAAACTGCAATTATGTTTGTACCAACCTAGTAACTTTGCTTTGTGATGAACATATAGGAAGAATACAAAGGATATAGAGGTGACTTATTTAAAAAAAGGTATATCCTTTCCTACCTGAAAACCACCATCCATGGACTCTCCAAACCAAACGTGTTTCTTCTCAGCACTAGAATCTGTCCACCAGTGTTTCCGTGGAACATTCAAAGGATTGGCACTTATGCATGTTTCCCCAGTTTCCATATTACAGAATACCTTGATAGCATCCAATTTGCATCCTTGGTTAGGGTCAACCCAGTATTCTCCTGAATAGTCACAAAAAAGAATGGGAATTGGTTATAAAATCCAGTAATAAAGTGATTTTGTTTGTTTACCTGTAAAGGCATTCATAATGTTGACTGCTAATGTGTCTGCATTTTATGTATAGAATGATAGAGAAGCTTTTTGATTGAAATTGCTGAGGTAAAAGAGTTAGCTATGACTACAGAAAGCACTGAAATAAAATGCAACATCTTGGTTTCTAATAAGGATGATACACTAAGCTAAGACCTTTTGATTGCTGTATAATATTTGCAAAAGTCTCTCCTTTAAAAAAAGATGATTATTATATGTAATCTTGCTTAATAATATAAGCTGGTTGTCTAACCTAGATTTGTTCCAATAGTTCTAAAGCTGAAATCCCTATGATTGATGCTTGTCTCCTATTTTAAGTAATTTCTAGAAATGACTCCTAGCAAAGGCAGTGTTCCATGTCAAGATATTTGAAAACTTGAAATAATTTTGCTTTTCAGAAATATTTAACCCAATATATGCAAAACCTTAAACTATTACAATATTCTATTTAATTTTATACAGTATTCTGAAATTTTTCACTTGTTTAATTTGAAAATTTTAATAATTAGATTCATTGCAATAAGTAAATATTACAATAATCAGATTATAATTGTCTGCATCAAATTATGTATATTTAATCCTGAGAAAAAAAGATATGTTACTTTATACTCAAATAACTTACAATTTATACTACAACTTCTACAAAAATGTCTTTATATTTTTCTGTATTTGGCATGATCTGAAGTTATGTTATATTTTACATCTGCAAAGTTTACTCTTTTATATCAAGCAGTTTCAATTCAGTTAACTTTCTTAAAGTACTATTTCAGCTTTCCATTGAAAGTAGATGTTTTTTCGTTCCCATTCTAATCTAAGCAGCTTTCTCTGTAATCCTATTGCCATGAAGATGAAAGACTACCAAACATACCACTCTTGAGTTCAGGATGGCAGAATTTCAGGTCTCTGCAGTTTCTAGCGGGGTTTTTACGAGAACCATCAGGACTAATGAGGCTTTCTATTTGTCCATTAACAGACTTGAGTGAAGTCATAATCTCATCGGTGTTGATTTTGAAATCCATTGGTTCATCTCCATAATACGGGGCAAAACCGCCAGCTTTTTCACCTCCAATCCCAGCAATGGCAGCGGCTCCAACACCACCACAGCAAGGACCAGGGGCACCAGGAGGTCCAGGAGGGCCTGGTTGCCCTGGGTGGCCTGGGGAGCCCTAGAATGAGTAAAACATGGATCATTGAGGTATGCACATTCAGTCGCCACTCTAAGAATACATTGCTAGTCCAAGAAAATGCCTTAAAAATAATTCATTCATTGTGTCATCAGAATTATTTTACTAAAGATTTATTTGGGTGCCTTTAGGGTCACGTGATCACCGATTTATAATAACTACAATTCATTATCAAGAAAGATATTGTTCCACTATGTAAGAATCAGTAGTGTCAGAGCACAAGTTTTCTCTATCATTCTTCCTTCTGGATGACTGATGTAAGCAAACACCTGTGAGCTACAATTCCAATATTGACATGACAGAGGGGAGTGTAATTTGTTGGGATAATTGTTTTTATTTCATTTACCCAAAGGCATGGAATAGAAAGTATTAGGAATGATAGTATCATTAACAAAATAGTAACCATGGAAGCTGTTTGAGAAGTAAAATGCACTACATAAACGCAGATAATTATGAATGTTGTAATTCTGAGATCTCTAGTGGGATAGCAATGTGGACAGGGTTTATTTGGTTAATTGGGCAGATGTCATTATTCTGATACGATGGATACCTGATCAAATTTTTAAAAAGGTATTTTTCTCCTGTTATAGTGTGGTAGAAACATTTTTAATGTGATGGAGAATGTCTTAAAGTCATTGTTCAGTTTCTAAATTGAGTGGATGCATTGCGTCTCTCTATTTCAATTTAAACATAATGCGCTGTGTTTCTGAAAATTGGAAGATTGTAGCAAATTAAATACACATACGTATAAGTGATGTCTTACCTCAGATCCTCTTTCACCTCTGTTACCTCGAGGCCCTGGTGGTCCAATGGGACCTGGATGTCCACTGGTTCCATCTTTGCCAGGAGGTCCACTGGGTCCAACAGGTCCCTAAGAAAGTATCATGACATCACAATGCCAGAATATCTTTCTGAAATGCAGACATCTGAAACATGTGGACCTGTAATATCTTTCTGTGCTACTTACTCTGGGGCCTGCAGGTCCTGGACTGCCGATTGCACCCTGCTGACCAGCAGGGCCCTGGAAAGAAAGGAAGTGTACATAGGAGTGAAGGCCTTAAAAAGCACTGGGAAACTGTACATTCAAGATCAGATCAAGAAACATGGGGATCATGATGAAATTTTTTTTCTTTCTTTAATCTTCCCATTGTGTCATGCTGATTGTTGTTTCAAATTAGCCTTCAAATCCATTTCTCATCTCTTCTAGTACATATTTTTAGAGATGGAAAGCTTTCTTCTCTTAATCTCTAAAATTTGTATACATTGAAGGGATTTTCCAACAAAATGAATGCACTTACTGGAGAACCTGGGGCACCTGGATTACCAGGGAATCCTCGATGTCCTTTGATGCCAGCAGCTCCACGTTCACCTGTTTCACCTTTGTCACCACGTGGGCCTTGAGGACCCTTTAGAAACATATTTTGAATTGAAGTCATATACACACATACATATTGGAAAAATAAAATAGAATTTATAATAATTAAATCTATTTTATGGCTTTCTATCAGCTAAAAAATCCCCCATCAACAGACACTTCAGATAGGAAATGAGATTTGTTTCTGTGGTTGTTTTCATTTTGGACTGATCATTGCATGGATCCCTAACAACTGATGTTTCTATCCTTGGCTCCAAAGAACTTTTAGATCCTGAACTGCTTTCCATATCATTGTCATTAAAGGAAAGTTTATATTTGTTCTATCTATCTATCTATCTATCTATCTATCTATCTATCTATCTATCTATCATCTATCTATAGATAGAACAAATATATATATATATATATATATATATATATATATATATATATATTCATTCTTTTTTCCTGAACACGCTGGAAAATAAAATATTTCCTACACTGTAGAATGAGTTAAAAAAAGAACAAAACAAAATAAAACCAAAAAATGACAAAACTTACAGGAGCACCTCGGGAACCAGCAGGACCGGGAGCACCAGCAGGGCCAGCAGGGCCCTAAGATGAAAACATTCAATTGAGAAGACATACACGGAACTAGTTTTATGTGTTGACACAATTTCGTTTTCAAAAGTAAATAATTTCATTATAATAGAATTATAGTATGCATGCAATTATTGGAAGTTAATATTGTTTTTGCCTTCAAAGTGCTAAAGCCCTGTTTATAGCTTTCTCAGGGGATCTAGACAGAAAAGTTGGGCAAGAGCCCTGTTAACTTGGCCTTGCATTTACCCAGCATATAGATAGTTGGTCTGATTAATATGATTTCGGGTTTCAGTAATGAATTCTTTATTGACTACTGCCAAGTACTTCTGGTATTGACTTATTCACACATTTGTCTAAGGAACAACTAGCATTAAAACTGTAAAACAAATGACAGTGGATATTTTGGTTGGCAGATCTGACATTCTACCTTCTACCTACAAATGTCTTTATTGAAGGAAATAGACAAACAAGACAGATGCTGCTTTTGGGAACTCACACTTTCTCCTCTGTCACCACTCTTTCCAGCTGGACCGACAGGACCAGGTGGGCCTGGATGACCAGGAGCGCCAGGGGCACCAGGAGAGCCATTTTCACCACGATCACCCTGTGAACAAATTCATAGGTACAAAATAAACATGATGATCACTTATTTTGATAACACAAATCAATTGCACATGTGTTTATTATACCTTGCCACCAGGAGATCCATCTCGGCCTGGAAGACCATCTGATCCAGGGTTTCCCTGATTAAAAAATGAGAAAGGAAATAAAATTTCTTGAAACCTTCCAAATGCCATTTCATCCATGCATTCTCAGCAGGGCAATATAATTCTCAAGGGGGTTAAAATTGGTTCTTGGGGGTAAGAAATCTTAGATATTACAAAGCAGTGTGGCCCTTCAAAGGGTCACAATGTCCAGACAGATAGTTAGTGTATTCATGGAGGAGAGGTGATTAGAAAAATGATATCCAAAAAGAGTCTTTACAGACCTCTAATAAATAAAAGTTTAAGAAATAGTGATCTAAACTGTTAGTGGAAATCTACAGTTTAATTAGTTTGCTTTAATCATTCCACATTGTATACATATATTAAAACATCACATTGTACCTTATAAATGTATACAATTATGATTTGTTAATTATAAATAATATTAATTTTAAATTCTTTAAAAATAATAAAAGACTAACCATAGATAACCGTAGAATATTTTCACTCAGAAAACATGTCAATTGTGGTTCTCCCCACTAACTTTTTTCCTAATTTAGTTAGAGATAATATTTTCTCCACAAATGATTATTCATTGGGTAAATACTAATGAACAAGAGCTTTTAAGTCTATCCTAAATTGTAATGAAAGAATTTCTGTTATTAGAGATAGAAGAACTTTGCTATGTGGCCATATTTACACTCTTAGACATTAAAGCTCAATTTCACCTTTGCTGAAATAAATTATCAAATTCTACCTGGCTGGTTGAATAAAAACTGCTACTCACATCTCTTCCAGGTTCACCAGCTGTACCAGCCAGACCAGGAAGACCCTGGGGTCCAGGGGGACCACGTTCTCCACTGAGACCGTTAGCTCCTGGTTTCCCACTTTCACCCTGTATACAAAGGAATGAAAAACATTTTGTTTCAACTTAAGAAATCAATTAAAATGGTGTTATCAGATATCTTTATTTTCAGGTAAAAAACTTATTTTATTTAATCTTCATTGAATTTTAAAATTAAAACTATGCCTGCTATGGGAAAAAATATGGGGGAGCAAGCTTCTTGCATTTTCTAACTTGCTCAGTGACTCTGGATGGCAAAGGGCTGAATAGTTACATTGATTATCTAATTCAGAATACTGTACATTGTAATCTGAGATGAATACATAAACATGATTAGTATAGGGAAAAACAATAATGAGCCATCATGAAACTAGAGGTGTATGGTGATCCTTAAAATTAGGTTATTTGTCTCTATCTGAAGAATATACACTTACCAGAAATATCATATCAATTGAACACACTTAAATATGAAATATTAATTTTATGACAATATTACATAACATTTTGTTGAAAGAAGTACTTAAAGTGCCATAATACGAGCCCTAATAAAAATGCAATTTTATTATCCTGTTTACCAAACGAATGTTTTAGATGCTAAGCACTAGAATGTTATAGGAATATAATACTAGTG